>NC_000007.14:89476475-89779506 GCF_000001405.40 Homo sapiens | reverse complement strand
CTGTATGATTCAATTTATATGACATTCTGGGAGAGGCACAACTATGAATACACTAAACAGATCAGTAGTGATGGTCCTGGGGAAAAGGAGAGAGTTGAATAGAAAAAGCACAGAGGATTTTTTATGATGGTGAAACTACACTAAACAGATCAGTGGTGATGGTCTTGGGGAAAAGGAGAGAGTTGAATAGAAAAAGCACAGAGGATTTTTTATGATGGTGAAACTATTCTGTATAGTACTGTAATGTTGCTTACCTGACATTATGCAGTTGTTAAAATGTGTAGAGCTGGTCAGGCCCACGGTGGTTCATGCTTGTAATCCCAGCACTGTGGGAGGTGGAGGTAGGTGGATCACCTGAGGTCAGGAGTTTGAGACCAGTCTGGCCAACATGGTGAAACCACATCTCTACTAAAAACTACAAATATTAGCCAGGTGTGTTGGAGGGTGCCTGTAATCCCAGCTGCTTAGGAGGCTGAGGCAGGAGAATCGCTTGAACCCGGGAGGTGGAGGTTGCAGTGAGCCGAGATCACACCACTTCACTCCAGCCTGGGCAGCAGAGGGAAACTCCATCTCAAAAAAAAAAAAAAATGCATAGAACTTTACAGCACAAAAAGTGAATCTTAATATATGCAAGTTAAAATGAGTTCATTTAAGATAGTAGGAGATCCCAGAATGGAAAGCAAAGTATGGTGCAAGAATCTAACTGTATTACAAGGACATGAAACAACCTCATTGAAAGGTGTGGAGGAAAAGAGTACTGACATAAGGAATTTTGGAAATAAATGAAGTCTGTGAGCCTAAAGGCAAAAAGAGCTCTATATAAGCACTGTACTCTAGTTGATAATAGTCATAATCCCACAGAAATATAGGTTAACACTTCATGTATACAAATTGAAAAATTACATAAATGGATCAAGGGAGCCAGGTTTCTCACTGTTGGTATAGTAGAAAACAGATAAGCAGATGCAGAAAGCTAGAATTTATCTATGTGGTAATGGATTTGAGTTGAGGACATTCATGTGAACTCCTCTTTAGCTTAAGACAGATACAGATAGATACTTGTAAAATATTTATAGATATGTAAATGTAAACAGAGTAGTATACATGTATATTTCCTTACTTTTTCATCTGAGAGGACCTAGAAAAAGTGATACTCTCATAGCAGTGAACATGCCTAGCATCCAGAGCTTGGTTTCTAATATGATTTTCCATAAAAATAACAGCCTGGGTTTCTTGGAAAAATGACTGGAGCCAAGAATGTACAAGGTGAGTCTAGAGCATATTGTGGAACCAGAAAGTAAGAAAGCATGCAAAAAAACACAATAATGGGGGTGTGTTAGAAGGGACACAGGAACCAAATGAAAGAGCTCCCAATGGCCAAAAGTGGAACAATTTGAGCAACAAGATATGAAGTGGTATTGGATTATAATTCAAAGTATAGGATAAAGACATAATGTTTATGTACTTTGCCCTCAAAGAGATGAAGTATTAACTCCCTACTCCTTAAGTGCGGGCTTTCCATAGCAACTTCTTTCCAATAAGAATGATAAAGAAGCAGGAAGGTAAACTTATAGTGGAAAAATCTGGTAAACATTACTTTAGCCAAGTGAACAAGGTTGACATCAACAATGATAAGTCATACTGATAATGTTGCCTTTAAATGATGTTATATTTTATGAAATTGGCATATATACTTTTATGGTCTTCTTTCCTAAAAACCTATAATCTCAATCTAACCATGAAAAAAACACCAGATGAATCTCAGTCAAGGGAAAATATGGCTAGTATTCTGCAAAACTGTCAATGTCATCAGAAACAAGGAAAAGTAAGAAACAAATTGCTAACAGCCAATAGGAACTTAAGAGGACATGACAGTTAAACATGTATCTTGATGGGACCTTGGAGAAAAAGGTACATTAAATAAAAACTAAAACTAAGGAAATCTTAACAAAGTATGTAATTTTCACTCATTGCAAATGGTACTGCAAAATAGTACAAATTTATGGTAGTAAATTTGCAAATATCTAACAAATCTGCATATGCACATCCTTTGACAAGCAAATCTATCTCTAGTTATTTATGCTGGTGGTCATCTGCACAAATATGCAACAATATATGCAAAGGGTTATTAATTAGCTAGATTTAACTATTCCACAATGTGTATACTCTTCAAAATATCATGTTGCACATAATAAAAACATACCATGTTTTTTGTCAATTGAAAAATATTGATGACAACTTAGACACATCTGTTATGAATTTACATTCAAAATTGAAAGTGAGGCAGCAGTAACAAGAAATGAGGATGCCATTTATATGCCGATGTGGCATAAACTTCAGGATATAGTGATAAGTCAAAACAGCAAGGTATGCAAGATGATATATAAAATGTTACCTTTTTTAATTAAACAGGACAATTGATATATGCATGTTTGCTTGTTTTTGCATAAAGAAGCTCAGGAAGTGATGCGTAGGAATGTCAGAATGTAGAAGATGTAGGGAGAGAATTGAGGGTTCTCTGACTATGCCTGTGTATATAGCTTTACATTATGAATCATGTAAAAAATGATTTACATTAAAAAAATGAGATCAGGCACATTCAGGGTGATCTGGCCATAGACAAAAATAAATTAAAAAATTAAAAAGAATAAAAACACATGAGAAATACACAAAAATAATATTTTCAAAGGGACAATGAAACCAGAGTAAATAATTAATTCAAATAACTATTGAATATAATATTCTTGCTCTATGCTTTTAATGGAATATATTCTGGGACACACAAAACTTCCCAATCACTATAAAGAATATTAGACTTTACTTAGTATGGTTGCTGTTAGTAGTGATATTGGTGTTGTATTTCTAAAAGCATTATTTATGTGTTTTAGGAAAAAGCAAATGTATAAAATAAAGATATTGTTAAACTTTTACTATGGGTAAAGGGAGATGCCAATATGGAGTGGTAAAAGGTGAAAATAATTTTATGTTATTGAAAAAAATATATATATTCATATATATTCCTATATATTGCAGCAATTATAAATAAAATGCAGTACTTCTATATATATAAAAATTCACCTATGTGTTGAATAATACATCCATAATATACATCTATAGTTCAACTGTGTATTTGTGGGTATGTATTTGTGGTTTCCTAGATCTGTCCCTGAAAGTGTATAGAAGCAATGACACCCTAGTGGCAATGAGCAGCTAGCAGTATAACATAGTGATACATCTAGATTTCTAAATATAATATCCTACCAAAAGGAATTTTGACTCCTTGGAAAAATAGCTGTTTTCACATCTGCACAAAGGAAAGTACAAATTGAGCCTGAAACATCTTCTTGTAACAGAAAGCTTGAAGAAATACACAAGGATGGGGTAAGGCTAAAAGGATACAGGAGCCAGCTTGAAGCAGTCTAAATTTTGCAAAATTATGATGGTAATGAATTATAACACATGGAATAAAGTTTTAAAAACATGACTCCATATTGATATTAAAGAAAAACAATAAATGAAAACAGGAGAGACAGAGAGAAAGGAAGACAGAGAAAGGTGAAAAACTCTTCTTTACAGAAGAATACCAGCTGATTAAAATAGAAAAGATGATTCAATTAGAAAATCACCATTTTGTAACTCCCAATTTGATTCAAACATAGATAATCAATTTGTTCACCTCACAAAATACTCCTTGATTACAAAGGGTAATTTTTCCTTTATGATGGAAACCTTAAACAAGTAATCAAGCTTTTTATTGCCAGTAGGAACATAGCTTGAAATGAGGGTTCTGATGTGATTCAATGATACACAATGTCACCAATATATCATTCTTGCTAGAAAACTTTGACCTGAATTTCAACACAAGATGAATCACTAATGTGAGCTTTCTGCAGGACAACTGACCTGAACTCTTGAAAGGATTCAGTGGCATAAAGAACAAAGGGAGTACAGAGAATTGTTCTAAATTTAAGGAGACAAATGAAAAATAAAAGTTAAATCCAAAGTATTTTGTAATATTGATTGGATTTCAGATGGAAAAAAATAAAGTATAAAGAACATTTTTGAAACAATACAGGCATTTTATTATAGATTTTTTCCTTGGATTATATTGCACTGAGGTTGATTTTCTTAGGTGTGATAATGGTTTTCTGGTCACATAGAAAATGTCATTGCTTTTCAGAGTTTATGCTTAAGTATTTGGGGCTTAAAAAGTCATGATGCCCATAGTCCACTTAAGGATGATTTGAAAAAATGAAAAGAACTCTCTCTTTCTCTCTCATGTTCTCTCTCTCTCTCTCTTTCTGTGTGAGTATACACACATATGAATATGCTTCATGTGTATTATATATGTGTATATATAAAACACATATAAATATATATGTAATACATGTATACACATATATACCTATCGACACAAACGTGTGGGTATACACACAAACACACAGAGATAGAATGTGGGGGTGTGGTGTGATGTTAACAACTGGTCTAAAGTATATAGGAGTTCATTATTTTGTTCTTTGAACTTGTGAGTTTGAAATCTTTCAAAATAAAACAGCAAGTAAAACAACAACAACAAAAATTCCCTAATCAATTTCCACATTCTTCTTTTCTGTGTTATCGAAGTTTCTATAGCAAGATCATAACCCTGTCTTTGGTCATTTAAAAACTTATGTTCATGAAACTCTTGCCCTGTTAACAATATTGACTTCTACTGAATTTTACATTATGTCCTTGAAAGGTGATAAGTAATTTCCAGATGAAAGTCGTTAAATGGATTCTCATTGCAATATTTAAAGGCTGAAAAGTGATATGAGATCAATAAAGTATGGCTTGTCATTCTCTACTTTTCTTCCATTCTGAATGTTACCTGAGGATACTGAAGAATTTGTATGATTAGTTATGGTGATAGAATCAGAGTCTAAAGTTGATATGGCTGATATGTCTTCATTACGTCTTCTAATATCCACTGGGGTGCTTTTTCAAATACTCTAAGTAACACCCTGGGATATTTTAAGTTTTAATATAATTCTCCTGTGGGAAAAATACAAATTTTCTTAAAACTCTACAATACTATTGTTTTCAAGTTGAGAATTATTACAGATAATACATTTCCTTATCTCCTCAATTGTATAAAATCACTTCTAATAAATTAAGAAAATTTAATTTCTTAAAATAAAATCATTAAGCAAGAGTTTCTGCATTACATAAAAATATACATGTGCAAACTATTAGATAAAGTGTGTGTGTTTTTTTTTTAAAAAAAGAAATGCAATTCATAACAGCCAAGGTAATCAGAGATAGCTGATCTTAGCTAGTCTTGAGATTTTAATTATAACCAATTACATAGAAAAGAATAAAATCCTAAATATTTCATTTATTAAAATCTGAAATGAATTATTTTTGCTGGTACGTTTCCAGATTCATATCCTTAATATTTCTTAATGTCATTATTACACTGCTCACTGAGAGGTAGAACTGTAGCATTTGAAAATAATTTGACTGACAAAAAACATCAACTGAATATTGGCATTGTTTACTTTATATCTTTGGGGACTTGCTGCCAGCATCCAGCATGGAAAGGTAGTTGGCCTTTCAGAGAATCCTCTAAGGAGCTTGCTCCCAGGCAAGAGAGAGACAAGCCTATTCTCTGAAAGATGTCCGATGAGTCTAATGACTCATGATGAAAATGTCTTTGAAACTTATGTCACCACTGGATTTTTAGTGATAGACATTCCATTATAGGGTATGCCTGTGAAACGTAAGTATCCTTGTCAAAAAAAATAAGGAGAGCATACAATTATGCTAATTTGACAGGCCTCAGTAAAGATGCTTTGCCTCTCAATTTTATTTTTTTTCTTTCCACTTCTTTGGAAGCCACAGGATCTTGAGGTTTAGAAGTCACCATATTAAATTAGACTTAACTAGAAGAGGAATACAAACTACTGCTAAATTTTTCATGTTCAAATCTTTTCACACATCCATTGTATAGTTTAACAAAAATATTGCCATTTCATCTGATGTCAGGGGTTCGAGACAAGCCTGGCCAACATGGTGAAACCCCGTCTCTACTAAAAATACAAAAATTAGCCGGGCGCAGTGGTGGGCACCTGTAATCCCTATTACTAGGAAGACTGAGGCAGGAAAATCGCTTGAACCCGGGAGGCAGAGGTTGCAGTGAGCCGAGATCATGCCACTGCACTCCAGCCTGGATGACAGAGTGAAACCCTGCCTCAAAATAAATAAATAAATAAATAAATAAATAAATAGAAATAAAAATAAAAAAAATTGCCATTTTTTTTTTTGCTAAAGAAGTATTTTGCTGTTTAAATAACTACTAACTTGATGGAACTTTGTATATAGTACAATCTGATACAAGAAAGAACAAAGACAAATGAAAGAAGTTCAAAGCCTGAACTCCTGTTTTTTACAGCATGGCTTACTTGGAAGTACAGAGAAAATGTAACTTTCGGCCATTATGTATTTTGCAGGTGCAAAATGTATAATTTGTTCACTATTGAGCACACTTAAAAAATGTTTTCCTTCCCCATTGCTGATCCCCCTGGCACATTTATATTGCAGTTCAAATTGTGTAGTCTTTAAAGACCACATTCATATCAAATCGTAGTTTTAGAAAAGGCTGAATATAGAGATTTTGTCTGTTGTGATAATCTCACATTAAACTAACAAAAATAATTATGTTGAATTGCATTTCTTACATTCTTTCAAGCTGTTGAAAATAGGTTACAATCAGAATCAAGAAGATTTGATTGCTTAAAATATTGCATTTCTTCATTCAATGAATTTTTATTGCATCCACTGCATACCAGGCAGTATTCAAAACTGAGCCAAACCTAAAAGGGCAATGGAATAATTTTTCTCTGATATTAAATGTCATTTGTACTGTACTGAAGTGTACTTTTACAATGTATGTTTTCATTAAGAATGGAAAAAGAAACAACTTGCTGAAAAAGTAGAATGAAAATAATCACAGTTAATGTGTATCTACCACACCCTAAAAACCTAGGGTTTATAGAGTTGCTTTGTTCCTTTGGTTGATTTATTTATTTAAATAATCTGGTTTAGTCACGAAGCAGCTTGTTGACCTTGAGTAAATCATTCAACTTCCTTGACTTCAATTCCTTATATGTGAAATGAAATGTTTGCTAAGGTCCTTTTACCTGCATGCTTTTAAGATTTCTTTGGTTTCTTTTCTAGATTTGATGTTATTGTCTAACTCAAATCCTAATCATTCAAACAATATTGCTTCTGTAGGAATTATTAGCTTTTGTTTCAAAAACAAAATGCGTTCAATTTCATGAATTCACTGATACCTACACTGGGATGAAGGACATCACTGAATGTGATGAACAATTTCTTAATCTTCTAGGGAAACAGTGATTATATTGCCATCTTATCAGAGAGTTGTCATACAGTGACTTCTGAGTAATTTAATTTTTGCCAAATTAATTTTCATATGCCATGGTACCACTGGAAATGACATTCTCATTTAAAATGGGATAGAAACTTGTATAATTTACCTAGTCATTTGAGAATTTTTAACGTAGAAATTGGGAAAGCTCGGCTTCTGAAACTCTGAGTGGGATAGTTCTAAATGTTTTCAAACTGTAACATTAAGAATGTTTTAAATACATAATTCTCCTTGGGTTTAACTAATTATGGCAGCTTAAGTATTTTCTGTATTTCAATTTTGCAGCAGACCCAAGACCTAATATTTCTACCAGTCACCATCAGTGATTACTAGAGGGTGTTTATAAATAAGTATTTGAATCTTCTGCTCTGTCTCAAAGTACAATCTAGGTCAAAGTGTAACCATGGTTCAGGAGCATCCTCCATCTTTACAGTTAGCCAATTTTCACATGAAAGAACTTTTATTGATCTATAAAACTAACATAGGAATGATTTTGAAATTTAATTAAGTATCTTGAAGTAAATGCTCCTGAAGATGAAGTCGAATATCTCTATGCATGTAGCTTCCCGGCCAAGAGCAATTTACAAGATTATAGGATCTGGGCCACTTTGCCAGCACCATGATTCACTTGACTACCTAGGAGACTGTTAACAGCTTCTTAATGGCTCTGCTAGCTGGCCAAATCATATACATTTAAGGTAAATGTAAACACACACACACACATTACTTTTTCCTGTTAGTCACCTCATAAGATTTTTTTTTTTTTTTTTTGCAGATACTCTGTATATTTAGGTTTCCAAACCCTAGACTAAAGTTGAAAATAATTTTGCTCTCAAGAAATTATCTAAAAATACTTTATGCCTCCAGTGTGGGGAGCTGAAGAGCTGAAGAACAGAAGTCAAAGAGAGATTTTTTTCCTCTACTACTTTTTCCGCCTTTTATAGAAAAGTTCTATAAATTCAAATGTGGATGTATGAAAAATTAATTAGGAATGGCTGGATAATTTGGTTGTGGTGACTCATTCACCATAAATATATTGTCAGGTAATTCTGTTAAAAAGAGAGAACTAAAATGTTTTCATAGCCAAAAATGTAATTAAAGAAACAATCACTATTTTGTTCTTCTAGAAATCCATTTATTTCTCTTTAATATTCAGATTCTCACTGAAATCTGTGATATAATAACATTTTAGACTTTAAGAAACATGATTCTCCTGACAATAAGAGAATGGTTTCCTGAATCAGTAGGATTCTGAATTGAAAGGCAAAAACGATATTCCTAAGGGCCATGTGTAGGAGAGAGGTCCACTGAAGCCTAATGCTTGAAGCAGGGGAGGGTGCTTTCATTTGAAATAGTTGAACTCCAGGAGCCACTGGAGTACATTGTTTTGCATAGACTATTCTCCTTACCATCATCTTGGGAAAAACTACCTCTTCCAGAGTTTTTGTGAGGTCCACAAAAGTACATGACAAACTCAAACACTTTGTCACCGGTTCTAATTTGGTCTTCCTGGATCCTAATTGATAGTTTGCTGTTTATGTTAAAGCTTATTTTTATTTACATAATTTTTTTGTTTACATTTTATTTTCGATGTGTACAATTCGGTGGCTTTTAGTATATTTACGAAGTTGTACAACCATCACTATTATCTAATCGCAGAACATGTTCATTACCCCAAAAGGAAACTCCATATCCCTTAGTCATTTCCCATTCCCCTCTCACTTCAGCCCCTAGCAACCATTAATCTTTGTTGCCACTACAGAGTTGACAATTCTGAAGTTTCATATAAATGAAATTTACATTTAGCATGATGTTTTCAAGGTTCAACCATATTTTAGTATGGAATCATTACTTCATGCCTATTTATGACCAAATGATATTCCACTCTTCAGATGTACCAAATTTTGTTTATCCATTCATTAAGTGATGAACCTTTGGGTTGTTTCCACTTTGAGGATATTATGAATAATGCTGTTATGAACATTCATTTACAGGTGTTTTTTTGGACTTATGTCTTCAGTTCTTTTAAGTATATACCTGGAAGTGGAACTGCTCTCAGTAGGTCATATGGTAATTCTATGTTTAACTTTTCAAGGATTGCCAAACTATTTTCCAGAGTGGCTTCACCACTTTACATTTACAGCAACAGTATATGAGGGCTTCAATTTCTCTATATTCTCAACAACTCTTATTGTTGGTGGTATCTCATTGTGATTTAAATAGCTTTATTGGGGAATAATCAATATACACAAAACTGCGCATATTTAATGTGCAATTGATGAGTTTGGACATATGCACACATTTCTTGAAAGCATCCCAGCAATCAAGGTAATAGACATACCCATCACCTCTAACACTTTCTCATGGCCCCATCTTTTTGTGGTAAGAACACTTAACATAATATCTACTTTCTTAATAAAATTTTACATTCACATTACAATATTATTAGGTATGGGCACTAGGTTGGTACACAAATCTCTAGAACTTGCTTATCTTACAGAACTAAACTTTACACCTATTAAACAATTCCCCATTTGGCCCTCCCCCAGGCCCATGGCACACTAGTCTACTCTCAGCTTCTATGAGTTTGGCTATTGCAAATACCTCATGTAAGTGGAATCATGCAATACAGGCATACCTTGGGGATGTTTTGAGTTCAGTTTCAGACCACCACGATAAAGTGAATATTGCAATAAAGCAAGTCACATGAATTTTTGGGATTCCAGTGGATGCAAAAGCTATATTTACACTATACTGTAGTGTATTAAGTGTGCAGTAGCATTATGTCTAAAAATATGTACCTTAATTTAAAATACTTTATTGCTAAAAGATGCTAATGATTATTTGAGTCTTCTGCAAGTCACAATTTTTTTTGCTGGTAGAGGATTTTGCCTCAATGTTAATGGCTGCTGACAAATTAGTGTGGTGGCTGCCAAAGGTTGGGGTGGCTGTGGCAATTTGTTAAAACAACAATGAAGTTTGCTGCATTGATAGACTCTTCCTTTCCTGACAGATTTCTCTGTAGCATGTGATACTATTTGATAGAGTTTAACCCAAAGTAGAACTTCTTTCAAAATTGGAGTCAATCCTTTCAAACCCTGCCACTACTTCATCAACTAAGTTTATATAATATTTTAAATCCTTTGTTGTCATTTTAACAATGTTCACAACATCTTCACCAGAAGTAGATTCTCCCTAAAGAAACCACTTTCTTTGCTCATCCATAAGAAGCACTCCTCATCTGTTAGGGTTTTTTTTTTTTTTTTTTTTGAGACGGAGTCTTGCTTTGTTGCCCAGGCTGGAGTGCAGTGGCACGATCTCAGCTCACTGCAAGCTCCGCCTCCTGGGTTCACGCCATTCTACTGCCTCAGCCTCCCGAGTAGCTGGGACTACAGGCGCCCACCACAACGTCCAGCTAATTTTTTGTATTTTTAGTAGAGACGGGGTTTCACCGTGTTAGCCAGGATGGTCTTGATGTCCTGACCTTGTGATCTGCCTGCCTCGGCCTCCCAAAGTGCTGGGATTACAGACCTGAGCCACCGCTCCCGGCTAGGGTTTTATCATGAGATTGGAGAAATTCAGTCACATCTTCAGACCCCACTTCTATTTCAAGTTCTCTTGCTATTTCTACCACATCTGCTGTGATTTCCTCTACTCAAGTTTTGAACCTATCCAAATTGGAATCAAGTTCCCGTTAATGTTGATATTTTGACTTCTCATGAATCATGAATGTTCTTAATGATGAATAGTCATGTGTGTTGTCACTGCTCCAGTGACCAGCTTACCTTCTAGAATGGTGAATCCTTTCTAGAAGATTTTTAATTTACTTTATCCAGATCTGTTAGAGGAGTCACTATTTATGGCAGCTATAGACTTAGGACGTATATTTCTTAAAAAATACACCTTGAAAGTCAAAATGACTACTTGATTCATCAGAAAAGATGTTTTGTTAGAAGGGGTGAAAACAACAATAATCTCCTCCTACATCTCCATTAGAGCTCTTGAGTGACCAGGTGCGTTGTCAATGGGCAGTAACATTAGGAAGCATCTTCTTCTGAGAAGTAGGTGTCAATAGTGGACTTGAAATATTTAGTAAACCATGCTGCAAACAGATGTGCTGTCATCTGACTTTGTTGTTCCATTTATAGAAAATAGACAGAGTAGATTTGGCATAATTATTAAGGCTCCTAGGATTTTTGGAATGATTATCCTCCACCTAAAGTCACCAACTGCATTAACCCACTAATAAGAAAGTCAGCCTGTCCTTTGAAGCTTTGAAGCCAGGCTCACTTCACTCTAACTAGATGGCATCTTCTTCCAGTATAAGACTTTTGTCTATGTTGAAAAATGTTTACTGTAGCCACCTTCATCAATTACCGTAGCTAGATCTTCTGGATAACTTGCTGTAGCTTCTGCATCCTCACTTGCTGCTTCATCTTATACGTACATGTTACAGAGATAACTTTTTTTCTTAAACCTTAGGAACCAACTTCTGCTAGCTTCCATATTTTCTCCTACAGCTTCCTTACTTCTTTCAGTCTTCATAGAATTGAAGAAAGTTAGGTTCTTGCTCTGGATTAGGCTTTAGCCTAAGGGAATGTTTGTGGCTGGTTTGACTTCTATCCAAATCATTAAAATTTTCTACATATCTATTTTACTTTCTTACCACTTGCATGTTCACTGGAGTAGTACTTTTAATTTATTTCAAGGACTTTCTCTTTGGATTCACAGCTTGGCTAGCTGTTTGGTGCAAGAGGCCTAGCTTTCAACCTGTCTCATCTTTGGACATGCCTTCCTTATTATTCTTAATCATTTCTAGCCTCTGTTTTAAAGTGAGAGATGTGTGACTCTTTCCTCCACTTCAGCACTTAGAGGCCATTGCAGGGTTATTAAGTGGCCTAATTTCAATATTGTGTCTCAGGGAATAGGAAAGACTGAAAACAGGGAGAGAGATGGATTAATGGCTGGTTAATGGAGCAGTGAGAACACACGCAACGTTTATTAAGTTCACCATCTTATTTGGGCACAGCTCATGGTGTCCTCAAACAATTACAATAGTAGCATCAAACATCGCTGGTCACAGATTACCATAACAGATATAATAATAATGAAGAAAAAGTTTGAAGTTTTGTAAGAATTAGTAAAACATGACCTAGAGGTATGAAATGAGCATATATTTGGAGAAATGGAGCTAACAGATTTGCTTGAAGTAGGGTTGCAACAAACCTTCAATTTGTAAAAAAAAAAAAAAAAAAAAAAAAAAATGCAATATTTGTGAAATGAAAAAAAGTGAAGCACAAATAAAATGAGATATACCTGTATTTGTCCTTTGTGAAAGGCTTACTTCACTTAGTATAATGTCCTGTAGGTTCATCAAGTTGTTCCATATGACAGGATTTCCTTATTTTTTTAAGGCTGAATAATACTCTATTGTATGTTTATATCACATTTTCTTTACTTACCTGTCAGTGGATGTTTTACATTGTTTTGATATTTTGGCTATTGCGAATGATGATGTAATAAATATGGGAGTGCAGATATCTTTTCAAGATTCTGATTTCAATTATTTTTAATTTATATCTAGAAGTGAAATTGCTGGATTATATGGTATATCTGGTTTGAATTTTTTGAAAAACATCCATACAATTTTCCATATTGGCTGCTCTATTTTACACTACCACCAGCAATGTGCAAGGGGCCAATTTCACAACATCCTCACCAACACTTACTTTTTTCTTAAAAAAATAGTCATAATAACAAGTATGGGGTAGTATGTCATTATGGCTTTAATTTGCAATTCTCTGAAAATTGATTGGTGATGTTGATTACCTTTTCATATACCTGTTGGCCATTTGTATGTCTTCTTTGGAGAAATGTCTATCCAAGTTCTTTGTCCATTTATTAATCAGTTTATTTGTTTTGTGCTATTGAGCTATGAGAGTTTTATGTATTTTGGATATTAACCCCTTTTCAGAAATATGGTTTGCAAAATATATTATGAAACCACTGTAATGAAAACAGTATGGTACTGGCATAAAGGCAATATGTAGACAAATAGAACAGAATAGCTAGTTCAGAAATAGACCCACACATACATAGCCAACTATTCTGCAACAAATGTGCTAAGAATACACAATTGGGATAGGATTGTTTTTTTCAACAAATGGTATTAGAAAAACTGAATATCCACCTACAAAAGAGTAAAATTTGATCCTTATCTTACATTATACAAAAAAAAACTTAAAATAAAGATTTGAATATAAGACCTGAAATTATAAAACCGCTAATAGAAAACATAGGGGAAAATCCTCTTGACACTGTCTTGGCAATAATTTCTTGGGTCTATACCAAAAGCACAGGCAATAAAAGCAAAAATAAGGAAGTGGGATTATATCAAACTTAAATGCTTTTGCACAGCAAAGGAAACAATACAGTGAAAAAGCAATGGAAAAAAATATTTACAAACCATGTATCTGATAAGTGGTTAATACCTCGTTGTGATTTTTATTTGCATTTCCCTAATGACTAATGATGTTAAAGCATCTTTTCAGGTGCTTATTGGTCATTTGCATATTTTCTTTGGGAAAACCTCTATTCAAATCCTTTTCAAAAAAATCTCTATTCAAATCCCATTTTGTTTGAGTTATTTGTCTTTATTGTTGAGATGTAAGAGTTGTTAATATATCCTGGGTACTAGTTCCTTACCAGATATGTACTTTACAAATATCTATTCCCTTATATGGGCTGTCTTTTCACTTTCTTGATAGTGATGTTTGAATCACAAAATATTTTAATTTTATTGAAGCACAATTCACTTTTTTTTTCTTTTGTTGCTTGTGATTTTGGTGTTATGTCTAAGAAATTGTTGACAAATCAAGGTCATGAAGATTTACCTATTTTCATTTGTGAGTTTTACAGTTTTAGAAGTTGCATGTAAGTCTGCAATCTACTTTGAGTTCATTTTTGTTTATGGTGTGAGGGAGCTTTTCCAATTTTATTCTTTTATATATCAATATCCATTTGTCCCAGCACCATGTGTTAAAAAGACTCTTCTTTCTCTGTTGAATTGTCTTGGCACCCTTGTCAAAAATCAATCATAAACATAAGGATTTATTTTTGTACTCTCAATTCCATTCCATT
This sequence comes from Homo sapiens, assembly GCF_000001405.40. Taxonomy (NCBI): domain Eukaryota; kingdom Metazoa; phylum Chordata; class Mammalia; order Primates; family Hominidae; genus Homo; species Homo sapiens. The sequence goes on along the minus strand of NC_000007.14, from coordinate 89,764,937 downwards.
AATCTCTATTTCTGTCTTTATGTCAATACCATATTGTTTTGATTGTTGTAGTTTTGTAGGTAGGTAACAAAATTGGGAAGGGTGAGTTCTCCAAATTTGTCCCTTTTTTTTTCAAATTGTTTTCCCTATTCTGGATTTTTCTAACTCCATATGAATTTTAGAATCAGCTTTCGGCCAGGTGTGGTGGCTCACGCCTGTAATCCCAGCACTTTGGGAGGCCAAGGCGGGTGGATCATGAAGTCAAGAGATTGAGACCGTCCTGGCCAACATGGTGAAACCCCGTCTCTACTAAAAATACAAAAATTAGCTGGGTGGTTTGTAGTCCCAGCTACTCAGGAGGCTGAGGAAGTAGAATAGCTTGAACCTAGGAGGCAGAGGTTGCAGTGATTTTGATAAAAATTACATTGAATCTGTAGATCAATTTGGGGATTATTAGTATCGTAACAATATTAAGTCTTCCAATTCACAAACACTAATAAATGATTGTTAATTTTTAAAAAGTTTTTTCAATGCTTTATCATTTTCAATGTCCGAGTCTTACACTTCCTCGATTACTTATTTCTAAGAATTCTGTTATTTTTGATGCTATTGTAAGTGCGATTGTTTATTGATTTCATTTTTAGATTGTTTATTGACAGTGCATCAAAATACAATTGATTTTTGAGAACTGACCTCATGTCCTTCAATGTTGTTGAAATTGTAGGCCAGGCACAGTGGCTCATGCCTGTAATCCCAGTGCTTTGGGAGGATGAGGCAGGTGGATCACCTGAGGTCAGGGGTTCGAGACCCAGCCTGGCCAACATGGTGAAACCCCCGTCTCTACTAAAAATACAAAATTAGCCAGGCGTGGTGGTGGGCACCTGAAATCTCAGCTACCCGGGGGCTGAGGCAGGAGAATTGCTTGCATCCGGAGGTTGCAGTGAGCTGAAGTTGTGCCATTGCACACCAGCCTGGGCAATAGAGCAAGATTCCATCTCAAAAAAGATGTGTGTGTGTATATATGTGTGTATATGTATATATATATATATGAAATTGTTTATTCATTCTATTATAATGGGTTTTTGTGGGAATCTAAGGCTTTGAGTGTTATAATAGTTCCATCTCTTAGTTTTTCCCTATTCCTCAGCTGCCTTTTTTTCAAACAAACTCAATCTGCTTTATCTAATTTTGACTTTTTAGGTGTAAGAGTTAGATTGAATAATATGTTATACCTTACACTGTCCTCTCCTGATTTATTATCTCATTTTTATAGACAAGAGAAGTAACTATCATTTGCATGACCATTTTCAGGGACACTGTTGGCAATACTGGAGAGTCCTGGTAATAGGTGGTGGTATGTGGCCCCAGTTATAAAGTCTGCAGCCTGATGGGAGCTTCCAGCCAAAACATTTTAATGAAGTTTTTGAGTCAGTCATGACTAGGGTGGCCATAAAATTTATCATCACACTGAAAATTTTGAGAATTAACGAGGGAGGGGATGTGTGTTATGAATTATGATATCAATACAACAAGCAGAAACCCTGAGTATACTGGAGAAACTAGGATGTATCATCACCCTAGTCATAATGATTGGCAACAGATGGATTTTCAAATGTAAATGAGGCAAAATGGTAAACGCAAACCAGGAGCAGCAAGTGTGGAACCAGAAGGTGACTATGGGAACAGAGGAAGGGATCAAGGGTTAAAAAGGCAAGATCAGAAAAGACACTCTATATTAATATACTGGTTAAAAGCATGGGTCCTGGAGCCAAATTACCTGGGGAAAAAATACCCACTCTGCTATCTATTAGCTGTGTGAGTTTGAGAAAGTTGCTAGAACTTCTCAGTGCCTAGTCTACTCATCTATAAAATAGGCTTACTATTAACCTCATATCACAGAATTGTGATGAGGATCATATGAATTAATATACATGAAGATTTACAACACTTGCCATATAGTGTATGCTATATAAACATGATACAGTGTTTCAATGTCTGTAGTGATTAATTTTGTGTCTTGCAAAGGAGTATATCCTGAGGACTGAACACAGTCCAGAAGCTCACTGATAAGCAGAAGTTTGACAAATCCATCTTGTTGATTGTATTATAGCTGAGAGGAAGCTGTAGTGGATTTGCTATGTAATGTTCCTCTTCAACATTGGTCTATACTGGGCCCCAATATTCTTTTTAAAAAATTTCTCAGAAGCATTTTCTCATTTTATTTTCAAAATACATCCCTGGGGAGGTCTATAAAAGCTTCTCTGATCTTTGAAAGAGACATAAAATTAGTAGCATTCAGCATGGAATTTGTAGCACAAAATCACCAGCTACCCAGAAACCAATTTGATGGAGTGATATGTTAGTTGATATTTCTAAAGTCTAATTTCAAACTTTTAAATGCCAACAAACACTAAGAATCTTCTTCCTCTATCAGTAACAGAAATATTGTGAAATATTTTGGGGGACCACCTACAATTTAACGTTTTTTTCCAGGTAGGATAACTCTTTATAGGTAATATTCTATAAAAGTCAAATCCAGTATTGTTTTTGCTTAGTTTAAGCACTTCTTTTCCTTATAGAAGAATACTAAAAGATTTAAGATGAACTATTTGTCTAATTTGTCTTACTATTTTTCAAAGGTATATAAATTAAATATTTTTTCATTTTGTTTACTTTTTAAATTAATGCATATTATTTTACATATTTATATGATAGACATGATATTTTGTTACATACATAGAATGTGTAATGATCCAGTCAGGTATTTGGAGTATCCATCACATTGAGTATTTGCCATTTGCATGTGTTGGGAACAATTTGAATTCTCTCTTCTTGCTACTTTGAAATATATAACATGTTATTATTCTACCCTGCTTTTTAATGGCAGAAATTATACCTTTATCTAACAATATGTTAGTACTCATTAATCTACTTTTTTCATCTCCCATACCCTCCACTTCCTTTGAATCTATGGTGTTGATAGGGTAGTGCACTTTGGTTTTCATGCTAGATGAGTGTAGTAGTGTAGACTCTGTATAATCTCTTTGGCTGTAAATAGCATCAGTAGAATCTGAGGTTTCCTCAATTGCTTAGGGTGCAATTATTAGTGGAGGCTATGGTACAGTTTTGCTGGATATTTGGATGCCAGGTAGACCAGGCTTCAGACCTTAGTGGTGGCTCCAGTGGACTGAGCTTGCCTGTCTGTGGGCCCCAGAATGGCTTAGGTAGCACTAGTGTTTGAGGGTCCTGGTGGGCTGATTCTTGGGACTCCAGGTGGCTTACTCAGATCCCAGTATGGCAGGTGTGGGCTGGGAAGTGGGCAGGTTTTGGGGCCCTTGGGCATCCTATGTGGCATGGGCAGTGGCAGTGCCAGTGGCAAGACAACCCTGTGGTTCCTGAGTGGTGCAGGCTGGTGTTGGCAGTGGCTGCAATGGGCTGAGTGGCTGAGTCTCCAGGCCTGCATGTGGTGTATGCAGGTAGGCCCCAGCTGTGGTGGTAGTGGCTGGGTGGGTAGGCCCATGGGAGGAGTGTTCCAGTGCCAGCAATGGTGTACTGGGCTGAGTGAGTGTGGCCCCCTAGACTGTGTGCTTTGTCACAGTTGGAAGGGGTGAAGCTGTGCCAGGCAGGCTTGCCCTCAGCTTCCCTGATGATATGTATAGGTACTAGCCATGGTAGGCAGGGGTGGGGCAATCCTCAGGCCACCAGTGGAAGGCTAGGGTGGGAGACACCAGTGGCTGGGCTGTCGGATGGGGAGCATGCATGTCACTTATACTTCATTCCTGGGAGCACTCATCCTTCAGCCTGGATGTGGTAGCCTGCAACTGTATGCACCTCAGCCCTGAAGTCAGCAGTCAGATCTTCTTTTGAGTCTCAGTCCCAGCACTGCAGTGCCACAGAGTAGTCCTCAGTCTGTTGGGGGTGGGACTCTGAATGGCACCTTGCTCAGCCCTGGTGGTAGCCTTCACTTTGGTGACACTTCCACATGTATAGCAGCCCACACTTGCTGATGCCTAGGTCCTGGGGGCAGCAGCTGTCATTTCTCTGGGCCTTCCGCCCCAGCACTGCTGGGTTCCAAGACAGTGCTCAGTATACGGGTGCAGGGCTCTAGAATTGTGTTTCACTTGCACCTCAGTTCTAAAGAGAATATCCCAGACCTCTGTTGCACCTCTGCCCCATGTGCAGTAGCCTATGGTACTTGTGCTTCAGCCCTTCGGGCAGCAGCCAATGCTTGTCTTGCACCTCAGCTGCAGCACCACTGGGCTCCAGGACAGTGTGCTGTGTGTTAGGGGTGGAGTTCTAAAACGGCTCCTTGCTGTAGCTGCTAAGGTCTCAGGGAATGTGAGAGATCCAGCATGAGCTTCCTCCATGGGGCAGAGCCGTGGTTGTATGATCTCTCTGTAGCTCCCTATGTTAGTTTCAGGGCCCAAGAGAGTCAAGGGGCTGTCCCATGATCAGGATTGCAGGAGTCCATGGTGGGAATGTGGACTGCTGAGGGTCTCTCACTTACACTTTCCCTGTATTAGCCTCTCTTGGCTCCCAGCAGATCCTGGCTGAGTAGGCTGCCTCAATTCCTTCTCCTTTCTTGCTTTAGATATTGCCTGTCACTTTTCTGTTAAATTCCAGTGTTCTCTCTTGGATGGGTTTTCCAAAGTGTGATTATCTACTTGCTATTTTTTTTTCTTTTTTTGGGGGGGAAGAAGTGAATACAAAATACCCCTAGACTGCCATCTTGAAGCCTCCCCTGAGAGTTAAATATTTACTTGTATTGAGAATATTTACTTGTATATAGAAACTGTACTTTTGATAGAATTAAATTTTTTCCCTGCAATATTGAAGGTGTTAGCTATTAGAAGAACTTCATTGAAAAAATATTTTTAATTTATGCTAAGAAAAAAGCTTACTTTTTTCCTGTTTATTAATGTATTTAAGGTAACAATCAGAAGTTTGGGTCCTTTATTACTTCTTAGTCATAATGTGCTATGAACCCATTTGTAACTGTTGGGCTTTATGGTGAATCTGGATTCAAATATTAAGATGGGGTTTTGTCATACTCCAGTTGGTAATATATCTAAATTTATAAGACTTGAATATTGACCTAGGAACTAGGTCTGATCTTTTATGAGGATTCTTTTTATGATAGGAGGTAACTTTATACAACTGATAAGTTTTGCATTTAGTTCTTTGCTTTCTAATTGGCTACTGCTACGCTTTACCTTATTTTAAAGAGAATTTTCAACTTGTATTGAATATAAAAATTTGAAGGTGATTGTTCCATTTAAAATGAGTATTTTTCCCACAAAGGAATTATCCTGGTCATTATCAGAGGAATAAGCATTCCTTGCTTCGAGATTCAACAAAAATTTATCTTATAAAATATAGAACTAGCTTAAAGGAGTATTGCCACTTCCATCTTAGAGAAGAGAGTCTTTGCCCTTTGAAAGACCTCCAGTGTGGTTTTACTGATTGTGCACATTTCAGCTGAGTAGCTATCCTTTGTCAGGAGAGAAGGAATAATTGGATATTTTATCTTAAGGGGTTTGATAATAATTCCTCTTGCTCAAGTATGCTGAACTCTGGAAAGAGAGAGTTCAAATTAAACAACTTTGGAGTCTTCTGAAATGGAAGGAACAAATATCCTAACTTTCTCCCTAGTACTTGTGCCTAGGGATATGAGCCAGGGTACATCCCATGTCCCTGACAAAGGCCCAGGGGCAGAGAGAGTAGCCATGAGTTTCCAGAAATAAAATCCTTTTGAAAAAAAGAATATCTATGTTGGCAATTTAGGATCACTTGGGTTCATTAGGAAGCCTGATTTCAATCATTACTTACGCTTAAAATTTACAACTTATCTTTTAAAAATATTTGGATCATAGCACTCAATATTTTAAAGTAAATTCTAAATGGCCATTGAGCTAGGTTTACAATGTCTAAAATAGCTACCATAGTGCCCAAGCATATGTAAACACTAAAAGTTTTATCTTTTTATATGAAGTAATAAAGGCAAATTATAAAATTAAGACTATTAGACACTAGGAAGAGAAAAACTCCCCTATTGCTGTGGCAAGTTGTATTAGATGGTGTGCAGACAAACTAGGTGATAAAGACTCTCTCCTTAACCTACCTTTAGTCAGACTCCTCTGAACTTTCTTCTCAGCTAGGCCTTATAGGGTGTCCATTTTCATCTTTGCATTGCCCAGTTCTAGCAAGAATGTTGCTAAGTCATTTTATCAATAATTGCCTATCCTCAATATCTGATCAACATCCTCATTCCCCATGCTTAATATCTTATCACCCAGGCCTACCTTCAGCAAGAATCTTGTCAACTAGGTTTAGCCAAAAATACCCCTGGCCTGGATATTTTCTCTTAGTAATTTTCTATCTGCTGATCCTCAGCCTGCTCCTTGACTATAAAGCCCCACTTGTCTTTGCTGTGTTTGGAATGGAGACTAGTTCTTTGCTGAAGTCTCCCTCAACCCATTGCAGTTGTTCCTGAGTGCAGCCCTTAACTACTGTCCAGCTCTTGTTTCCTTTGACATAGGTAACCTTGAGAATAACTCAATACATGTTTGTCAAATATCATTTCATTATGTCTTTAATCCATAGAATTAAGTATTGTTAGTAAGCCAATTTGAATCCTGCCTTGTCACGTTGTACTTACAGGGCTGTATTTGCTTTTGATAATGGTCATGGACCAGGCATTAAGTATTAGGGAAGGAAGAAATGTGAAGTTGAGAAAGAATATGAGAAAATGTAGTTCCTTGAATAAACACTGTTTGGAAATTGGTAAATAAGCCAATAGTTATTGCTTAAATCAAGTCATGACAAAGCATAGCAGTTTGGATGTGTTCCCTATCCATCTGCTTCCTGATAGCTGGGTATGACTCAAATCAAAGGCTTGGCTGTCCTCATAGCTGCCTCTGCCTTAGTACAGAACAAAAAATCCAAGGGAGGTCAATAACTGTCAGGAATTGTCCCAGCTCAAAACTGGGTAAAGAGATGCTCAAGAACCCTTCTCTTTCCATGTCTGATTATAGATCAGGATGTACAATGAAAGACCAATGAAAATTCTCAGTACACAATAGTGATTGGCAAGTTAGCAGAGTTCAAAATCCAACTGTAGAGTATTCTTGCCAAACCATATTTCCACTGGCTGTCATTATCAGGCCTTGATTCTTGGAGGTGGTTGGGTGGAGTCAGAGGAGCAAAGGCCTTGGGGTAGAGACCTGTGGTCCCCTCATAGCACCTCTGTTGCCCATTAACCAGAATATAATGCATATAATATACTCCTCTGTGCTTCAGTTTTCTCATCTGCAGACAGTGTACTATGTGAAAGGTGCCCAGAACAGGGCCCTTTTATACACTCAGCAGATGTAATTGAGCCCTTAACTAATGTGCCACACATGAAGCTGGGCACTTTGATACTGTAGTGGAGCTTAGAGTCTGGCTGGAAACAGGAAAAAAAAAGTAAAGGTGCAAATATCACAATCATTAATTTTTAATAGCTATAAATTAAAAGAAAAACACAGGGTCTTGAGATAAATGGCAACTATAAATCCCTATGTCAAGTGGGATGATTAGATTAGCCATCCTTTAAGTCGAGACCTAACAGATTAGAAACAGCTTTTCACCTTTAACCTCTGCCTTTAGCCCCTTAAAAAATTGGTGTCCTTTACCAGGAAAACAGAATCTTCAAGGCCTGAGAGTATGTCAAAAAGTGAGGGTGTTAGGGTCGGATTAGGTGTGACCCTGTATGAAAAGGAGTTTGGATTTTTATGAAAATTAGGTGGAGAATGAATTGACACATGGTAGGCATCAAATATATGGTAACTATTATTATTGTTATTAATATTATTATTCCAATCTGATTTTATGTGTTCTCAGTCATGTTTTACAGAAGAAAAAGAGGAAAACAAGTACATTGTAGGTAACACACACACACACACACACACACACACACACGAATGAAATTTCATCAAACAACAATAGTCCCATTAATGTTTTTGGCAACAATTTAGTCAGCTGTTTTCTTCAATTAAAACTCAAAATGGTATGTAACAAAATAATGCCTCCATAGAGGTTATTTAAATTTTATTACACAGTTACCAGCGTTTCATCTACTTCTTTAAGATAAAGGGGCCCTTTTAAAATGTTGCTTACATCTACTTAGGGAAATGCAATGGTTATTGAAGTTGAAGTACAATTAGGTCAGTCTCTCTATAGATAATACATATAACTAAAAGTCTCCAGGCCTAACGCAAAAAAATACATATATTCATAATATGACAATTATCAAAATTAGGCCTAAAGATTAAGGTAAGAACATGTGAAGCATTCAATGGAACGGTCAGGAAATTAGAAAAAGTAGATGTGTGTATATATGTATATACCTACATACATATAGATTTATACATACATATATACACATATATGTGATATGTATATGTAATATATGTAGTACATATATGTGTGTTATGTGTATATGTGTATGTATATATGTATATGTGTGTATGCATATGTATATGTATATGTGTATATGTATGTATGTATATGTGTATATATGTAAACATTTCCAGAACACAGCCTAAGGAAGTTGCTAACCCATCATTTTCCTGTCCAAATTTTTATTGGTTACTTATATATCTGTGGCTCTCAACCTTCAATACAGAAGTAGAAGAAATATTATGTTTTATAAGGATAACTTCATTACTATTCTCTGTTTCAATCAGATGATTTAAAATGAAATGTAGCAGAAATACTTTTATTCTAAGCTCTTTGTGAGTTCTCTGTAAAATTGGTTTTTGTGTGTGTATTGGAGGGGACAAAGTGGGGAAAGGGAGGGACAAGAGAATGTACCAGGGAGATAATTGTGATGTAAATGAGATAACAAAGTCTCGTAAAATGTACCTGTCCATACGCAGCTCCCTAAGTAACAAAACCTTTCAAGAAACTTTCTAGAGGAGGACTGTAGGAATAATGAAAAATTTTGAATAGTTACAAAAAATCCCAGCAAGTAGTTTTGGCTTTCTGAAGGTCTGTGAGTTGCCCGTATTGATTTCCATGTATCAAACAGTTAATAAGAAAAAAATATTAGCAGGACATGGAGGACTACATAGTCAAGACAATAGGAAACTACATCTAAGGATCTCGATCAGTGCCCCAGGATTAGAAAATGTCCTAAAGACTTAACTCAAAAAAGACATTGTTATTTTTCTTTTTAAGATCCATTTATGGCCAATGTATTATAAAATTTTGCCTTTTCTGTATTGTTTCATTCTCAAGGACGACTTTGTGATCAGGGTCATATAATGGAAATTTGCAAAACTTGGCATCATGCTGCTGTAAGAACGTAAAAAAATGCTTTACTGTAGCAATCTATCAGGAAAATTTATTCACATTTGATTCTCCTGTAGTATTTAAGGACCTTGGGAATTTAAGTGTGGCTCTTGTTAATCACTAGTGTCTCCTTGGCTTTGTTTCTTTAGTCCACTCTTAATGGGTTGATGATGAGGAGTCCCTAAGCAAAATACACACTGAGCCAGAATATGCTTCTGACATGTAGAGCTTTCAAATGAAGGATCACTTTCACCAAAGATTCCTAAATGGAAAACTGCAGTGATGAAGTTGCAGACAGTGACCTTTCTAAAACCCAAATCTGATTATGTTATTTCCCTACTTAAAAGCTATTGGGAGCTCCTCACTGCATTTTGAATGATGTCCAGATACCTTAAGATAGTTTATAAGGCCTTGCATGCCCTCTGCTTCTTTTCCAACTCATCTCTTATCATTCAATCCTAGAACTCTTCCTCTCAGAAACAACAACTGTCCTGCTATTCTTGTACACATTGGCCTCACCCCTCCAAGCTACTGTATGTTTGCTATCCAGAGTCCTCTTTTCCGTTCTTCATGCCTGGATCAGCCCTACCTTTGTCCAGTCACATGTTTCTTCCTACATGATGCTTTCCTTGATTCTCCAGGATGAGATAGGCATGTTTCCTATTTGCTTTAAGGCCTGGTATTTTCCACATCCCAACACTTTTTACACTGCATTGCACATAGCTCTTTATTGCTCTGTGACCTGTTAACTCTAATGGGGTGGGGATTCTGTCTCTTTCATTCACTTTGGTATCACTATGTCTAGCACAGATTAGTGCCCTGTGAATGTTGTTTGAATGAGTGAATACATAAATGATCCGTCCTTGTGAAATTTTACCAAGTTTAAAATATATATACTTGTGCTTGCCTTGGTAGCGCATATACTAAAGCTGGAATGATACAGAGAAGTTTAGCATGGCCCCTGAACAAGGATGACATTCAAATTCGTGAAGCATTCCATTTTTTAAATAAATTCTGGAGATCTATTGTATAGCATGGTAACTATAATTAGCATTAATGTATTAATTATATACTTGAAAATTGGTAAAAGAGTAGATCTTAAGTGGTCTCACTGCAAAAAAATTGATAAGTATGAGAGAAAATGAATATATTAATTCACTTATTTTAATCATTTCACAATGTATACATGTAAATCAAAATATCACTTTGTATATGTAAATATATATAATCTTTATTTGTCAATTATAACTGTAAAGCTGTGGGGGAGGGGAAGGAAAAAACAAATAACATGGCAAAAATATAAATATATATAATACACACACACTTATACTTAAAATATAAGGCAATCTGTTAATTATTTCCTTTATTTTGTTTTCCTAACATTTTTAACCTCAGCTTATCTATCAACAACTTGCTGTTTGTCATTCAGAGACATGGTTAGAATGTCCTAATTTTAATTTGTACAATTTTCCTTCTGAGTATGAATTCTCGTTAGTCAATAGATGTGTCTTTCTTGGCTTTACCAAATTTCTTGAAATGATGTCATTTGCAAGCTTCATTTTTCTCAGCAGTGTGACTTTTACTGCCTGATCTAACATCCATCAAAAGAACTTTTTCAATATTTAACATGAGATTCTCTTTGGCAACTCTAAAGACCTGTTCTCAGTCCTGATCCAACTCCATGACAAATCAGAGACAAACTTCTCTGTGTATTCTGAATACGACAAACCCTATATTTACTTGAAAGACCAAATAATGATAGCACAAACTCCCACTACCCTGGTTGTCACAAAATCATCAACTTCAATGTGTTTACAATTATTTATGGGTGTCCTCAAAGGATTACCTGTCTAGGTATGAATTTGGAAAACCAAGATTTACCACTTTGCCTCCTACCTGCTTTTCTGCTCTTGTTCTATCTCCCACTCATCTCACTGAAGACTCGGGGTAGCTTCCCTGCTCTCCCTGTCTGCATCGACAAAGCCAATGTTCATTCCAAGGTGCTTATTCCAGATGCTCCCAAACATCCAGTCTTCAGAGTGTGGAAGTTCTGCTGAGTTTCAGCAGAAATAGATGGAACAGGCAAAAACGACCTTTTCTCCAATGTTACACCTTTTCTTTTTTTCTTTTATTTTTGAGACGGAGTCTCACTCTGTCGACCAGGCTGGAGTGCGGTGGCACCATCTTGATCTCTACTCACTGCAACCTCCGCCTCCCAGGTTCAAGCGATTCTCCTTGCCTCAGGCTCCCAAGTAGCTGGGATTACAGGTATGTGCCACCGTGCCCGGCTAATTTTTTGTATTTTCAGTGGAGACGGGGTTTCACCACATTAGCCAGCACGGTCTCTGTCTCCTGATCTCATGATCTGCCTGCCTCTGCCTCCCAAAGTGTTGGGATTACAGGTGTGAGCCACTGCGCCTGGCCATGTTACACCATTTTTATCACTTGGCTCTGTACGCAGAGTTGACAAAATCTCTCTGGAAAGCTCCTCTGTGCTTCCAGCCTTCATTCTTTGCCCAGCATGTCTCATTGCACAGTCCGTCCTAGCAAATACTTTTGCCATCACTCTCAGAAATCACTCTCTTCTAAACGTGGGAGAACTATGTGAAAACAATTTTATATAATCCATTGAACCTCTATCCACTATCCCTTCTGCAGTCCCCAATTAATCAAATTTTCTTTTTTTTTTTCTACGTGAAATAACAAACCCTACTATGCACAGTAATGTGAGTAATCAGATGATATATGGAGGGGAAAGAGAGAGGGAGGTATGTTTTGCAGCAACTATCCAGGTTTTTTTTTTTTTCATTCACACCTGTTGGAGACTAATAGAGTAGTATAGGGGTTTTCAAAGTGAACTGCAATTATATTAGCCTTGATAAAAGTTCAATATATATATTCAGTTGTCATCATGTATGGATTCTGTATTTGGGGATTTACCTACCAGCTAAATTAAAAAAATATAAAAAAAAACTTTTACATTAGGTTCAGGGGTACATGTGAAGGCACTGGTACAAAAACGGAGACACAGACCAATGGAACTTGTTGCTTGTTGGCTACATATATGTGAAATTGCATATCACAGAGGTTTGGTGTACAGATTATTTCACCACCCAGGTAATAAGCATAGTACCTGATTGGTAGTATTTCCATCCTTTCCCTCTTCCCTCCCTCCACCTTCAAATAGGACCTGGGTCTATTATTCCCTTCTTTGTTTTAATATGTACTCAAAGTTTAGTTCCCACTTACAAGTAAGGACATGCAGTATTTGGTTTCTGTTCATGTTAGTTCACTTAGGATAATGATCTCCAGCTCTATCCATGTTGTCGCAAAGGACAAGATCTCATTCTTTTTTTTTTATGGATGCATAGTATTCTGTGGTGTATATGTACCATATTTTCTTTATTCAGTATATCAGTGATGGCATTTAGGTTGATTCCATATTTTTACTCTTGTGAATAGTGCTGCAATAAACATACATGTGTGTGTCTTTAGGGTAGAATGGTTTATATTCCTTTGGCTATATACCCAATAATAGGATTGATGGGTCGAATGGTAATTCTTCTGGGAGTTCTTTGAGAAATCACCAAACTGCTTCCTACAGTGGCTGAACTAATTTACATTCCAATCAGCAGTATATAAGCATTCCCTTTTCTCTGCAACCTAACCAGCATCTGTTATTTTTTGACTTTTTAATGATGGCCATTCTGACTTGTATGAGATGGTTTCTCATTGTGGTTTTGATTTGTGTTTCTGTAATGATTAGTGATATTGAGCATTTTTTAATGCTTGTTGGCTACATGTATGTCTTCTTTTGAAAGCGTCTATTCATGTCCTTTGTCCACTTTTTAATGAAGTTGTTTGTTTCTCGCTTGTTGAATTGACTAAATTCCTTATAGATTCTGGATATTAGACCTTTGTCATATGCATAGTTTACAAATATTTTCTCCCATTCTGTAAGTTGTGTGTTTACTCTGTTGTTAGTTTCTTTTGCTGTGTAGTAGTTCTTTCATTAGTTTAATTAGGTCCCATTTGTCAAATTAAGTTTCAGTTGTTTTTGGTGTGTTTGTCATTAAATCATTGTCAGGTCCTATGTCAGAATGACATTTCCTAGGTTATCTTCTAGGGTTTATATAGTTTTAGGTTTTGTATTTAAGTCTTTAATTCATCTTGCATTGAGTTTGCATATGTGTAGGGAAGGGATCCAGTTTCAACCTTCTGCTTATGGCTAGCCAGTTATTCCAGCACCATTTATCAAATAGGGAGTCCTTTTCCCCATTGCTCATTTTTTTTTTTTTTTTTTTTTTTTTTTTTTTTTTTTTTACTTTGTCAAGGTCAGATGGTTGTAGGTGTGTAGTTTTATTTCTGGGCTCTCTATTCTGTTCCGTTGGCCTACATGTCTCTGTTTTTGTACCAATGCCATGCTGTTTTGGATACTGTAGCATTGTAGTATAGTTTGAAGTCAGGTAATGTGATGCTGAGGATTGCTGCCTTGTCTGTTCAAGCTCTTTTTTGGTTCTATATGAATTTGAAATGGTTCTTTTCCTAATTCTGTGAAGAATGCCACTGGTAGTTTGATAGGAATAGCATTGAATCTATAAGTTGCTTTGGGTGATATGGCCATTTTAGGAATATTAATTTTTCCTTTCCATGAGCATGGAATGTTTTTTCATTTGTTTGTGTCATCTCTGATTTCTTTGAGCAGTGTTTTGTAATTCTCATTGTAGAGCTATTTCACCTCCCTAGTTAAGTGTATTCCTAGGTAGTTTATTCTTTTTGTGGATATTGTGAATGGGATTGTGTTCCTGATTTAGCTGTCAGTTTGGATGTTGTTGTTGTATAGAAATGCTACTGATTTTTTACATTGATTTTGTATCCTGAGACTTAGCCGAATTCATTTATAAGGTCTAGGAGCTTTCGGGCAGAGACTATAGGATTTTCTAGGTATAGAATCATATCTTCTTATTTGTAACCCCATAATCAACACTTGAAGTGCTTTTGTGGTTATTTGCAGACATGTACAGAGTCACAAAAATTTTGAGTTGCCTGACTTGTCCATTCCCAGCTAAATTCAAACAACGCAATGCTCAGCCTTCTCATTTCAGCTCTCATACTATCAGCAAATGTACTTTATGCAGTCTTTTTCGTGCCATGTTTTTGTACTTTTGTGCTTTTTCTTGGTTATTGCTGTTCAAAATGGCCCCTGAATGTAAAAGCTGAAGTTCTGTGTGTTGTTCCTAAGTGTAAGCAGGCTGTGGTGTGCCTTACAGAGAAAATATTTGTTGTTTGTTAGATAAGCTTCTTTCAGGTGTGTTGTCATGGATTCAATGAGTTGGCCATTAATTCAGTTGTTAATGAATCAACAATATATAGTAAATAAGGTGTCTTTAAATGAAACACACATAAAACAAGGTTATGTATTGATTAGTTGGTGAAACTGTAAACAGAGACTTACAGGAACCTAACCTTTCATTTCCCATAAGAGCAATGGTTCAGTATTTGCTGAAGTAGTATTCAGACTTTACAAGACATAATTACCATAAATAATAAGAATCAACTATATATATACACTTAAAAATATGTTAATATTTGAAATATGACAAAAGCTCTCTCTCTTTTTTTTTTGGTTTGTGTGCTTGGGAGTTTGTGGTAGGTAGTGATATTCATATCAGTCAGTGAATATTTGGTGATCTATTAAAACTCATATGTGCCTGACTGAGTGGACTTACAAATCATTGCATATCACTAACTAAATTAACCTTCACAGGTATGGGCAAATGACTTGAAAATATTCCTATACAGAAAAAAAAAGAATGCAATGAAACATAAGTAAACAAAAACGTGAAAAAAAGGCAGAGCTCACAAATTCAATTGTGGTATAAGCTATTGGGCAGCTTCTTATTAAGAGATAAATAAATAGCGATCTCATAGGATTTGACATACTTGCCTCCCTCCTAATTAAAATTAGTAAGAAACATTATTTTATATGTAGATTTAAAAATCACTAGAATGTGTGTATGATAGCTCCCACCCTAAATTAATATTTTTCCTTTGTATATTATTAGCAAATGATTATGCATGTTAATCACTCATAAATCATTTATAAATATAATGCCAGCACACAGTTAAAGACTTTTTACTCATGGGGTGAGAGACCACTGGAATAATAAAGTAGTGAAGTTTTGGAAAAGAAGCCATAAAAGGTCACTTTTTATTCATAGAAACATAATCTATAATTTTAAGTCTTAAGTATCTATTTGAAAATAAAACTCTTGCAATGATTCAAGGTCATTAATTCTTAAAATTCTGGAGAATTCAGCCCTGATATTGGTGACAGCCCATGGAAACTTTGTTTTTTTCTCTTGCACTCACTCCTGATTTGGATTCAGTACTTTAGTCACAAATGCCAGTTATGCTTTGACCATAGTATCTCAGCTGTGTGTGTATTTTTACAGAGAATAGAGAATAAGAAGGAAAAAACATTTTAAAATTCCTTGGATCAGAGTTTGATAGTTTTCAAAATACTGGTAAAAGCCAATTGATCAAACAATAAAACACATAAAATGATAAGTTGTTACCAACTCTGCAGGACAATGTAAGTATTTCAAAAAAGTCAATCAACAAAACTCTCCATGTAAGACATTTGCCTGAGAGTGCTAGGAATCGGCTTTTCATGTTTTAACAACTTCAGGAAGCTAGTGGAGCATATGAACTGTGTAGTCATTCCCTTGTGTGTTTCTTTATATTCTACCATATGGGTTTCTAACTTCATGTATAGGTTTAACTGTTTATCCTTATGTAAATAGGGTCCTCTGTGAAACTTCTTCTGCAGGACAATTTTAACATATTGAGAGATATCAATTTGTCTTATTCTCACTTCTCTAGGAAAATTTAAAAAAATTTTAATTCACATCTCAATCTAAACACACTCACACTTGTATACTTACTCACTAAGATAAAAGAATAGGTATTTCTATTCTGGGATTCCTTGTGCCACAGGGAATTTACAACTTATTTTTGTTTTAAGAGCCACCAAGGAGGTAGTCTTCTTGGTGAAGAGAGACATTGATCCTAAAGGTAGAGGCTAGCTTCGCCCTGTAGGTCAGAAAGATGGAATTTTCAGTGTGGAGCTGAAGACTACAGAGGATGAGATTAATTTCCCTGAGACTAAAGGAACAGGATTTGGGTTATGAGTGTTCTAATAACCAGGCTCTTTTTAGGGAGCCATGCTGTTTACCCCCAACAGCTCTCCCACCCTATACATTTTATGTTCTCCTCAGGTTCTATTGCCAGCTGGCTAATTGTTTAGCCAATGGAAGGCAATGGCAGGTGAGAGGACTGGAAAGGAGAGAAGAAATGTATTTTTCCTTGCTCTCTTTCTCTTTGGTTCTATGTCTCTGACTGTGGTTGTGTCCTTCTATCAGTCTGACTGGGGCCCTTCCTCCATGATCCAGCTCTCACTGGGATCCTATTAATGTAAAACGATTTCTTATTCTTGCTCCTTTAGGCTCGGGAATGGATGGTATTGCTTTCTTTCTTCTGCTGCAAGTTTCTGGGTTTCTCTTGTGGGTTTCTTTAATCTTGGCCACACTTTTGTAAATATCCTTCATTAAAACCTTTTTAATAGAACAATTTGGGTAGGATTCTGCCTCTTTCTGTTCCCCTGAGTGGTATAGAGCCTGTAGAGATTGGGCATTAGTGTCTTTGGTATGCAGTAGTTTGTCTTGGAAGCTTGACTGCTTCTTTGCTGAAGCTTGGCACACTCCCGAGAATACACAGAGAATGAGCAAGTGGCAGTACTAGAGACTAGTAGACTTATTTAAGCATATCCAGAGTCCTCGGGAAGGTTTACGCTCAGAAAATAGAAAAGCTATAGAAATGACTAAAATCAAAGTTTTCACTTGCCCCTCATTTGTGACATATTTTGTTCCTCAAGTGCCAAGGAGCAAGTGCATGTCTACTCAATTCATTTCTAAAACATACTTTTAGCTCTGCTGTAAAAGCGGCAATTTGAGGAATATAATTAATTCTTTTCGATGGGTAACTGGAGTTTTCTCATTAGAGTTTTATTTACATCATTGTTTATGACTGATGTGGGGTTTTGAAAGAAGTTGTCATCACATTGTGATGTAAGAGACCTGATTGTTAGAATTAGATTGGCCAATTTGTCTGAGCCCCTGCTCATTGATTTGTAAAATAGAGAAAATGATATCAAACCTGGACCGTTGTTTTACCCACAGCTCTCAATAGGTACTCAAAATGTTACTTCCCTTTCTTTTGATTGGCATATATCCCCTTGTGTTCCATGGAGGTCATGTAGATGAATTGTATTCTGTGGCCAGATTCCCTTGAGGACCAAAGTTGGACATTGCCTGAAGGGAGAGATAGTTACACTCCATAGGCTTCTGAGTTTAAGAATGTATATACTCTGGTTTAAATTACAGCTCCAACCCCTTCTAAACATGGAAAACTTTGTAGTTACACCTCTGCTCCTTGTTTTTCTCATTTGTAAGATGGGAATCATAACAGTATCTACTTCATCAGATTATTGCAAGGATTGAAAAATTTAATGCATGTAAAGATCTTGGTAAAATTATTGCTGGTGGAAGAGATCCAAGTTACCCAGAGTTACTGGTGGCCTATTTGTATGAGTCTGTAGCAACTTCAGTTCTTGCCTCCTCAAGAAGAAATAATTCAACTGAGGAACATTCTGCAGAAAAAGAGACTGAGGCAAGTTTCAGACAGAGGCAAGTTTCAGAGCAGGAGTGGAAGTTTATTAAAAAATACTTCAGAACAGGAAAGAAAGAAAAGAGCTCTTATAAGAGGTCCAAGTGGGCGCCCTGAAGATCAAAGAGAGAAAAAAGATAGCAAAAAAGGGCAAAGAAAAAGAGAGCCTTTAACCTTGATCCTAAGACTTTATAGGCCGCCTCTTTCCCATGATTCTTCCCTTAGGGTGGGCTTCCCGCATGGACAGTGCTTTCTTTACCCTTTGGAATTCAGCACGTGTGTATTTAGGGAGTTACAGGTATGCCCATCTGAGGCTTTTTTTTCCTTTTTCCAGTGGCGCGTGCCCCTGGAACGTCATACTTGGTCATTATGTCTCTTAACACGCATGCCCAAGAAGAAGCTTCTTCCCTGGGGGGCCTGTATTCAATGAACACTTCTAATGTTAACAGGTGTGGACCGTCAGGAGCTTGTCTCTCCCTGGGTGCCGAATTATTATTATTATTATTATTTGAGAGGAAGTCTCACTCTGTCGCCCAGGCTGGAGTGCAGTGGCAGGGTCTCGGCTCACTGCAAGCTCAGCCTCCCGGGTTCACGCCATTCTCCTGCCTCAGCCTCCTGAGTAGCTGGGATTACAGGCGCCCGCCACCGCGCCCGGCTAATTTTTTTTTTGTATTTTTAGTAGAGACGGGGTTTCACCGTGGTCTCGATCCCCTGACCTTGTGATCCGCCCGCCTCGGCCTCCCAAAGTGCTGGGATTACAGGCATGAGCCACCGCGCCCGGCCGCCGAATTATTATTTTTAGAGAGGCAATGCGAAAATTGCCAAACCATCGCCCCACATTTTTATTGGTTTGGGGAGAGCCCTCTCCTGCCCTGCTCATGCCTAGCTAACTACCTTTAACAAAATGACTGGCTTAATAGGTGCTTAGTAAGTATTAACCGTGATTATTATTTCACGTTATAGTAAACTGGTCAGCTGAGCATATGCTGTGTCACATTCTATGTCTGTCTTCTCACATTTAGTACAGTGCTTGACATCTAGCAGACAGACAGTAAGTAGATGTGAAATGCATATCTTCTTGGGAAACTTCCAGAGGAACTGCCTGAGAACTCTTATATGAGCAAGCAGGTCCTTGAGAGAGCTCCATCAACTCAAACTGACTGTCGGGGGCATTGTTACTTGCTGCTTCCCAGATGTTTGAGGGGAAAGCCATAAGAATGAGAGGGTACAGAGAAGCAGGATGATGGGTGCTGCATTACAAAGCCAACAAAATCGGCTCCCTGGAACTCTTCTCCCTCAACATTGTAGCAGCATATTCAGACCAACATTTGCTTACGGTTCCAATTTACTTTATTTTTATTTATTTAGAGACAGAGTCTCACTCTGTCCCCCAGGCTGGAGTGCAGTGGTGCAATCTCAGCTCACTGCAACCTCCACCTCCCGGGTTCAAGCAATTCTCCTGCCTCAGCCTCCTGAGTAGCTGGGATTAGAGGCGCCTGCCACCATGCATGGCTTATTTTTATACTTTTAGTAGAGCTGGGTTTTTGCCACGTTGGCCACGCTGGTCTTGAACTCCTGACCTCTGGTGATCTGGCCGACTCAGCCTCCCAAAGTGCTGGGATTACAGGCATGAGCCACCGTGCCGGGCCCCAATTTACTTTAACTTGGCTGGCATTTCTCTGTTTACAAAGAAGAGTACATAAATATAAATTGAGAGGATACCAGGAAATGATGCACCCTAAACTCTTATTGCAGTTCTGAGTAATATGAGATCACGTAACTCCATTACTACATAGAATTATAAATCAAGTTTCTGGGTGCTACAGTGTCTTAGGATATGGTAAGAAAGTCTGTATAACCTCTACTCCACTGACTTAAAAGAGGGAGGTGTGTCCCAATCTATAAAATGTATTTTGCCTGATAATAGACCTTTGCTTGTGACAAATCATGTTTGTTCTAAATCAGGGAGCAGATGAAGATTTAGACTCATTTCCATTTGTCACTGCACTTTGTAGTTTATAAAGTCCTTTAACATACATGATCTCAATTATGTCCTACATGCAATAGCCCTGTGGGGTAGATAAGGAAGGCTTTAACCTCACTTTATAGGTGATAAAATAGAGATCTATGCAGAAGCTAAGTGACTTGCCTGAGGAGACACATCAATTGAGAATGAGCACAAAACCCCAGATTTTTGGACACTAGTTAGTGTTTTTTCCATTACTTCACACACATTTGCCTCACTGTAGCACTGGTGTGGTTTTCCAGAAGAAACATGATTTTCCTGTTCATCTGGTCAATAATGAGTTGTATTCTCTGCTGTATAAATTAAAAATAAAACAATAAAACCTCCATGAAAACAAAAACAAATAACAACCTAAACTTTTACTCTATTTATCAACAAATAGTAACACCTTCTATTTGCAAGGTGTTGTGCTAGGCTTAGATACCAAGGTTGCCCTCAGTGAGCTTCTGTTTGTTAGACGAGAACATTCAACCAAGAGAAAATGATATAAGGCTGCGAATATTTAACCATGTTATTTCCCTTTCCTCTTCAGGTTCTTTGGATTTGAAGGAATTTCTGATGGCTCATGGATTGAGATTTAATATATCGTAGGGATAAAAAAGAGACTATGAAAACGTAACAATTAGATGGACAAAACACTGTTCCACATAACCTTGTTTTTCTATTATGGAAATGTTTTGTAATGATATTTAATATATGTGACAAAATAATTTTCAACTAATATGCCTTTTATTTTTGCCTACATGTTTTATTTAAAACTTTTTATAGCTCTTAAAACTATTCATGTTATCACTGCAAAAGGGGAATAAAAGGCATTTTTATAAGCTGTTAAGAGCTACAGTACTCAAACTCAAATGAAGCATATGGGAAACAACAAAGATAGGTATACATTGTATTTTTCATCTGGTATATTCCTACCTTTTCCCATACAGGATTAGCAGTAATGATATGGGAAACCTTGACCAATTTTGTGAGGCAGGACAGACCACAACTTGTGAAACAGAGTGTATAAGACCATAGCAATTTTGGGAACTCTCATCCTCCACTGCCTGCTTCTCTCTTACATCTGTGTAATGACACAATAGTACTCCCATTTGTGGAAACTTCCTTATGTGTCAAGTACTGTGTGGGTGCCTCACATATGTGAAATACTGGATGTACTAAGTATTTTTATATATATAATTTCTCACTGCGATTTCCTCAGCCACTTTGTGAGTTTGTCTGGGTAATTATTGGTGCCCCATTTTACACAGAAGCAAATGGAAGTTCTGAGAATTTAAAGTAGTTCTCCAAAGTCACAGAGCTCGTAAAGCTCATAAGTGGAAAAGATATAACTGGTAACCAAGTTACTAAGTTTTACGCTAGTTTTATTCATCACATCTTACTACTTGTTTGGAAAATGTTTGATTTTTAAAATCTCAAAAGTAAAAGTTCATTTAGTTATTGTAGTGATTATACCATAATATAAAGAAGATTCACTGTGAAAGCTAATGTACTAAAATTCCAAAATCCTGGAATGTTGATGACTGTGTTAGCAATTACAGTACATATCTCTTGATTTGAGATGCAAGTTCTAGTTTAATGGAAGAATATGGCATTGAATACAGAGTATCAATTATCAGACTAAGATGTACCAACAGTCTTTGCCCGAATAATTAAATATACTGTTATCTTACAGTAACTTTAGATTATCAGAGAAAATTATATTATAAAAACTGTAGAAAATAGGGCTCAATCTGTAATAATCTATGATACTTTTTGAAAGCTTTTTTTAATGAGAGAGTAAAATACATTCTCTAATATTATGTATATTCATTTATACATCTTGAGTCCATTATTTTTGATATATATATATGCATTATCATTTTTACTTTGAATATTTAAAATATTATATTCATTGGAATAGTTTCAGATGAAGAATATCTTTTTAAAAAGCACAAAGTGATGAAATAGAGAACTCTAGAATGCTTCTAGTAAAAAGATGTAGATAAAGTTTCTTATATTTAGTGACCTTAGTGTTGCTATTTTATAAAGTCTAGGTCAATTGTCCTGATTGTTTTATGAAATCTACTCTTTTATTTGAATTGGTACAAATTTACACAGTACTTTCCTTTCTGAATGGCTAATTTCTATGAATTTCAGGAGGGTAGAACAACGTTTCAGTGTACATTTTTGTAAGATTTCCAACTCACTGAAGAGATCCATTTTTTGTCTCTAGCTATAGTTTCTTTCCCACCAATACATAATGAACTCATCACATCACAATATAATGGAAACTAAATGTGTTATATGTTCATCAAAAATCTGCATATGGTGATTTTCTATTTCTTGATGCTTGCTTTGGACCGAATATTGTATTAGTAGTTTTAAAACTGCATTGTGAGTGGAGAAAACTGCTAACATGTATCACAATTCCTCTGCATAAATGCTATAAAATTTTCACATATTCTCAATCATAATTTTCATCTTGTTTATATATCAGTGAATTTTTAAAAAATAATTTCAGCTTTTGAAGAAACATTTTCAAGGTTTCTGGAAAAGATGGTGATTGGTTGCTTCAAGTCCTTCCAGTCTACGGTTAGGACAGAGGTAGACAATTAGCAGATAGATGAGATTTCTTGATAGCCCTGGTTGCAAAGGCCCCAGAAAGGATTCTGAAAGGCCTTGTGTCATGCCCAACTCTGAACTTACCTTTGTGGCTGGGGGATTGTACTATTGACTAGTCAGGTCTGGGTCCCATGCTCACCCCATATAAATTCTGGGTGGAAGATAGCTTATTTCCAAAGAGGCAGAAAATATGTAATTTTGTATGCATATTAAACGAGATATACTAATAAGATGTTCTGCACTTAGTAATTCTCTAGTAGGATGAATTGACTCTGGAGTAGCTTTGTGAACTAAATTGTAATTTCATTTGCTTGTCTTTTAAAATAGTTTTATCTCTAAATGATAGCTTAAATGTAAATTACATAAGATTAAGGTTGATGAGTTCTCTGAAAGTGTCTTTTGCCCTCTGCTTTTTGTGGTAGCAGTCCCTATAACTGCTTTCTCTCCATGGCACTGAAAAACATTAAGAGTTTACCCTGGAGACCTTAGTCCTAGGCCAAGGAGAGAGGAAAGGGAGTAAGTGTCCCTGTAGAGCTTGAAGCTAGTGACTATGACTTACTAATCAAGTAAGAATGTATATCTAGTGTTTAAAATGTGCCAGGCTCTTCTCCAAATGCGTTACACATGTTAATTCATTGAATCCTTTCAACCCTATGCCGTAAGTACTATTTTTATCCTCATTTTAAAGAGGGGGAAATTGAAGCACTAAGAAGTTGAGAAACTTGCCTAAGATCACATGTTTAGCAAGAGACAGAACTGAGACTTAAATACAGGCAGTTTGGCTTCAGAGTTTGTGCTTTTAAGCAAGACTCTGATTTCCACAGCACAGTGGGTTATACTCTCTGAGAAGGTAGCATGCCTTGCAATACCCTTCATTGCCTGCATCGCTGAGCAAAGTTGTTTCAAATTCTGGTCTTAGCAAGTCCATGTTTGAGGGACTCCACAAAAGTCTTGGTTTCATTTTCAAATATAGTTGAATTGTCTCAAAAATCATTTTAAAATAGAGAGACCTAAAATTGATATATCACAGTTTTACACATTGGAAACTATCAATGCATTAAGAAGTTCTGACAGGTTACTTTGACATTGCCCAGACCTTGGAATGAAATTTCTCCTGCCCTTCCTATGCATATAGTTGAACTTGTGCATGGTGATATGAATTATTAAGTTTGTCACTTTGCATTGGTCTTTTAAAAAATTTGGTATGTGTACACTTGAGTATGTTTATACATGTTCACAATATTCAATTAAATGTCAGGTAAGGCTCAAGCATGTTTACATCTGTTACATGGCTATTAGTAATTTATAACCAGTTTCTTTTAATAAAAAATCAAGTAAGAGTTTCTGTAATACACATAAAACTTAGAGGTCAAAGGCCACCTCAATTCCACTCTGGGATACCCCCAGAGAAACCAATAAAATGGGAACATTAATTGCGAAATGTGTTATTTTCTGATGATGATATAGACAAGGAGGTTTATATCATGTATCACATAGAAAATGGCTTAAAATCCTTTTGCTCTTCAAAATCTCTTTTAACTCCCACACATCATATGGCAGGTGTGTTAGGGGAGGAGATGGGATAGAGTATGTGGGAGAAGGGTATCTTGGCTCCCTGGGCTTCAGCATCTTTGCCTCCTGGATTTCTCCAGGGCATTGGAAATTCTGCTTTCTTATTATAGAGAACAATTTATCCCACCTATGAAATTCTTATCCAGCTCCGTGTTCAACAAAAAAATAATCTTTTCATTACTAAGGTCAACTCTCCTTAGAAAGCTGTATGGGTTTATGAAAACAAAGAGTTTTTCTGTTTCATATTTTTTCTCTTAATTTTTATCCAGTATTCTTCTTATACCAAAAGTGTTTTTGATCATGATTATGCCTTAAACTTTTAATTATGATTATCTCTCTGAAAATGCATACTTTATAACACAACTTAAGATAAGTGTAAAACTAAAAACAAATCCCTTAAATTAATCCCATTAAAGTACTGCATGCATATTATGAGAACATCATAAAGTATCACAAATGATACTTAAATTTTCTCTTGGGTAAGGAAGGCCCTATTTGTATCAATTGTAAAAGACTGACATACAGACTGTGTGGTTTCCAACAGTTCTCTACTTGCCAAGGCACTAGAATCTTACTGAATCAACACACACCAAGACGTTCAAAGTCAGACAGTAAACATTTGGTTAGGTAGCAATGAGAATATCAAATCCTTAGTTAATGCTGATTACATTTCTTTATGCCAACTAATATTCTAATACTTCATTATGAAGATACATCTATATTTACCAAAGAATAAAACAAAACAAATCTAAATTGCTTTTCTTCGTAAATATTTGGAGACACCTTGTTCAAATACACATAGCAATAAATAGCTAAATAAATAAATAAATACTTCTCAGAAGCACCAAGTAAGAAAATCAGTTGAGGTCAGACCAATAAAGTATTTCTTAATATTTGTTTTTAGTCTGTTTTTCATAATGATCATAGAAATGCAAGTCTCAAATTGTTTTTAATAGCAGACTACTCCAGTGAACACTGATTATGCTTTTTATAGTAAGGATGCTTTTTCGGATCCAACTATAGAGCCCCAGGTTTTTCTGAAATTTATAATATTATAAACCCTGGAATAAACTACCTTATTATTATTATTAATCTAAGGCATAATAAAGGAAACTTTTCTCAGTGAGTCTTTCAAAATTCCCTTGTTTTAAAATTCTATTTGTTTGTTTATTTCTATTCCCTTTTCTCTCTCATGTTTGTTTCTTAACCTCAACTATGCATGTATGTATGTATGTATGTGTGTGTATGTATGTGCAAATACGTCTGTGCATACATAAAAACTTCACACCTTTTGAATGGAAAATGAGTTTGTCAGTCCCAACCGGGACATTTTAAGAATATTTTTTGGTTCAAGATACTGAGGTAAAAAGTATACAGCAAACTCACTTTAAGATAAATCCGTAGAAATGTCTGGGGTTGAGAAATGCTTACAAGGATTTTAACCAACATGCAAACAAATGAACTTGTTTTGTTACATCCCAATTGCATATCAACTCTTACTCCCTTTTTCATTTTCCCGGGCCTATGACTGCAATTGAAGGGGCCTCAGATTGATTATTAGAATAATAAAAATCAGAGACTAGAGAACTTATCCTGATCATCTTCCACTGTTCTGGAACTTATGTTTCATTTTTTTTTAATTTTACTTTTTAATTATTCTGGCATGTAATAGTTATATATATATATATATACACACACACACACACACACACACACACACACACACACACACATATATATATATATATGGGCTACATGTGATGTTTTGACACAGCCATATAATGTTTAACGATCAAATAAGGGTAATTGAGGTATTCATCACCTCAAGCCTCAAGCATTTATTATTTCTTCATGTTAGGAACATTCCAATTCCACTCTTTTAGTTACTTTAAAATATAAAATAAATTGTTATCAACTATAGCCACCCTATTGTGCAATCGAATGCTAGATTTTTTTCATTCTGTCTGACTATATTTTTGTACTTATTAAGTATCCCCACTTTATCCCTTTCTCCCTGCCCTCCTTCCCAGCCCCTGCTAACCATCATTCTACTCTCCACCTCCTTGAGTTCAAATTTTATAAAAAAGCTTATCTCCTACATATGAGTGGGAAAATGCAAAATTTGTTTTTCTGTGCCTGGCTTATTTAACATAATATCTTCCAGTTCTATCTGTGTAGTTGCAAATGACAGGATTTCATTCTTTAAATGGCTGAATAATATTCCACTGTGTATAGATACAACATTTATTTGTCAACCATTCTGAAAAAAAACCTATTCTGGAATTTTAAAATTTTATATGCATGTTACTCTTCTCATTCTAATTTAGTCAATATTTTATGTATTTACTTATTCATGTTTTAAATAATTACTCTCCCCCATTTGTGTGCCAGGAAATATGAAGTCCTTTAGATAGATTAATAAAATATAATCTTAACCTCTGAGGAAGTTCAGGTCTGATGGGGATGCTCACAGTCTGAGTGTGTTTACCGGGACAACCAGTTCAATCACTGTTTGAAAGGACTTTAAAACCACGTAATCTTAGTGGGCAGAAAATAATCACAAGAATATATCTGCCTCTGTTTTCATGGGGGAGAATTTTTCAGATAAAAAATAAAAACCCAAACAGCTTAACTCTGGCTTGGATTAAAATCTGGGACATCTGTGTAGGTCAAACCAGTCAGATAATCACTAATTCCTGATCCCCTTCCGTTTTGCTCCTTATTACACCCAAAGACATTCTGTAGGCTGATCAGAGACCTTTGTTATAGGTTTGTACTAAAATGCTTTTGCTACATTGCACTTCAAAGTTGGGTCAGAGTGTTCAATAAATTGATTTTTCTGTCCATTTCTTATTCTAGAACTCTGCCATAACTGGACACATGTAGCTTTCATTCTGTAGTGGGAAAACCTGTAGCTTGAGTGAAAGCTGCAGGCTTTTGAAGTTTCATGAAATGGTTGTGTTGATTTGTTCTTTGTTCAGTGTAGAGGGTAGGATGCATCTCACTCATCTAATTTAGACACTTTAAAGTCAGATCCCATACTTTTTAAAACCATCTGGGTTGCTTTTTATTCTCCGAACCCAGGGGCCCTCCATGAAATCAATGGGGTTGGCAGGAAACATTTGAAGAGGTGAGGTTAGCTTGTTTTTTGCAAGACATTTTTCTGAGACCTGGGCAGGAAAAAAAAAAAAGCTGATTTTTCAGCTGATATTTTTACAAGTATAAAGACATTTTGAGACCTTCTGTAGAATGGTTGGGATTTATTAGAAGACATGTTAAATATGCTTTTAAAAATAATATAAATACCAGTACATATTTCAATACATTTTTCTTTCTGTTTTAACTGGCCTCTAAAATTAAAAACATAAATGATTTAAAGAATGATTTCTATGATCTTTTCTTCTTATGTAAGAGAGACCATTTTGGGGAAAATGACATACAGCTTTTTTTCATCTTTCATTTTTAGAAAATGGGGGTATGTTAGAAGCTCACACTGGTAAACTGAAAGCTCAAAACCGCTTGTTGAATGTTGTTATTCTAAAATAGTATTTGAGCCTGGTTATAGTGAAAAGAAATATAGCTTCATAAAAGGTCAATATTTTGGGCATGGTCATACTGTGAATAAGATTCAAGTGCCCTCAATTGAGCCACTAGCTGCTGATATTTCTTCTATGCCAGTGTAATAGTTTTCCAGCCAATGATGTGTAAATATTTTTAGACACTGTACAATCAGGAAAATTCCATTGACCAAAGATAAAGATCTGTCTCTCATTTGTTTACTAAAGAGCAAGATGATTCTCATTCATAATTTCTTTAAAATTCTTCAAGTAAATGAGTGGTTATTTCATGAATGTTATTATTTCCTATTTATGTTGTCAAAATGAATCTCAGGTATATCTACAAAATTTATGTAAATTAGGTAATTTTTAAAGCCTCTATTGTATTTCATCATTGTCAGAACATTTACTGTGGAGTAATGGAGTCAAAGCTTTATGGTACCTGATTTGCAAAGGCCCATTTCGGTTCCTAAATCTAGCCTTGCATTTATAAACTAAATGTGGCTCTTAAGTTTTTATAAATTTCAGTCTCCATGAAACCTGAAGCCACTTATGACTGGTATAAATAAGTAGTTTTCAAAGTGTGGTCCTTGACAAGCAGCATCAGCATGACCTGAGAGCTTGGTGGAAATACAGGTTCTCAGACACCACCTCTGAATTGCTGAATTAGAAGTTTGTGCTTGGGGGTCAGGAGGGAATAGCAGTCTGAATTTTCACAGGCCCTTCAGGTGATTCAGATGCAGTCTAGGATTCTGCCATAAAGATATGCATGTGAATGTTCATTTCAGCACTGTTCACAATAGCAAAGACATGGAATCAACCTAAATGCCCATCAATGACGGATTGGATAAAGAAAATGTGGTGCATATACATCATGGAATATTATGCAGCCATAAAAAAGAATGAGATCATGTCTTTTGTGGAAACAGGGATGGAGCTGGAAGCTATCATCCTTGGCAAACTAACATAGGAACAGAAAACCAAATACTGCATGTTCTCACTTATAAGTGAGAGCTAAATGATAAGAACTTATGAACACCAAGAAGAAAATAACAGACACTGGGGTCTACTTGGGGCCGGGGGGTGGCAGGAAGGAGGAGACTAGCAGAAAAAATAACTATTGGGTACTGAGCTTAATACCTGGGTACCTGGGTGATGTAATGATATGTACAACAACTCCCCACCGCCGACATGTGTTTATGTATGTGACAAATCTTCACACATACTCCCAAACCTAAAATTAAAAACAAACAGATGCAGGCTAGGGGTAGAAAATGGTGGAAAAATAAAAAATTGCTTGGATTTCTCAGTGCTTCTGCAAAAAACCCTAGCTACCTGAGACATGGAAATGTGTATAAAATAAGTAGGGAGTATTTGTGTTCATGTCCCTCAGAAGTATTTTACTTTTCATATACCATAATAATTAGATTGTAGCCATTTGTCTAGTTAACTGCTCTGATCTCAAAAAATTATAATACCTTTTATATCTTCTATGCAGGCTAAATAGTTACAGCTGGGACTGGTCCCTAGGTTAATCCTCAGGGTGCCTGAGGGACTAAAAAGCTATCTTTATGGGTATTTGTATTTCAGAAAAAAATGAACTTTCAGACCTTGGAGACGTTGTCAGGTCACAAAACCTGAGACAAATGGGAGTATCTGGCTCCTAGAGAGATTTTATTTAGATACCAAAGGGTGGAGGTAAAGACTCAGGCTCATTATATTTTTAAGGAAGCCATTATGGAGAAGAAGGAGACAACTGTCTCTTTCCCTTTTATGCAAAAAAAGAAGTAATAATAATTGTCCTTTTCTTTCACTTATGGAATGCCTATTTGTATAGGACAATTGGTTTTGCTCTGTTTCCCAAGCCACCGTGTCATTACCCAATGAGCTTATGAAGAAAGTGGTCATGATGGCAGAGACAGAGGTTATGTACGGCCTCAGCAACCTGGACTTCCACTAACCAAGGTTGACTTGGCTATGACCATGGCTGAGTGCTGAATCTGCCAGCAGCGGAGACCAACAATGAGTCTCCAGTATGGCATCAATTTCCACAGTGATCAGCCAGCTATCTCATGACGAATTGTTTATATTGGACTGCTTCTATCCATGGAAGGGGCAGACTTTTGTTCTTACTGGAATAGACACTTACTCTGGGTATGGACTTGCCTTTTTTGCATGCAATGTTTCTAACAGAACCACCATCTGTGAACTTAAAAAGATTCCTTATCTACCTCCATGGTTATTTCACATCGCATTACTTCTGATCAAGGAACTTCACAGCAAAAGAAGTATGGTAATGGACCCATACTTATGGAATTCACTGGTCTTTTTTTTTTTCTTTTCAACTTTTATTTTAGGTTCAGGGGGCACATGTGCAGGTTTGTAACATGGGTAAATTGTGTGTTATGGGGATTTGGTGTAGAGATTATTTCATTACCCAGGTAGTGAGCATAGTACCTGAAAGGTAGTTTTTCCATCCCTACCTTCCTCCAACTCTCTACCCTCAAATAGGCACTAGTGTTTATTGTTCCCTTCATTGTGTTTTGTGTCTTCAGTGTTTAGCTCCCACTTATAAGTAATAACATTTGGTATTTGGTTTTCTGTTCTTGCATTTTCTTACTTACAATAATGGCCTCTAACTCCATCGTTGCTGCAAAGGATATGATCTCACTTTTTTTATGACTGGGTAGTATTCCATGGTGTATGTGTTACAGGTAGTTAGGCATGAGCAGAGGGCACCCTGCACACCCAACAGGAATGTCAGGTGACCATCAATGTTAGGCGACCAATGATGGTTTGACAATTATCACACTGCCTCTCTAAAAATGATAATAGGCAGCCAGCACCAGGCAGATGCAATTTCCTGATGGTCCACAGTTGTCACACTAAAGTGATAATTAATTGCAGGCACCAGGGAGAAGCAATTTCTGAAACAGATAAAAACACTTGAAATTGGTAATCAACTTTCAATAAAAATCTCAGTAATTTGACAAGTGAGCTCAGGCTTGCACATTAAGAGATAAAATGGTAGAGTATGACCTACTGGAGGCATTCCACCAGAAAAGGGAAGAAAGCCTCAGTTGGGTATGTGTACAGCTTCCTAAATACACTGCACATGCTCACCTCCCAAGCTCATTGTGGGTGGTCACTCTTAGAGAAGAATGAAGGGAAAGGGGCGTGAGATGCCAGAAGTGGGCCAGCATATAAAGTCCTAGGATCAAGGTTAAATGGGGCACTTGTCCTTCAAGTCACCCACTTGGGTCTCTTCCAAGTGTACTTTCCTTCTCTAAAGCTTCTTAATAAACTTCCACTCCTGCTCTGAAACTTGCCTCAGTCTCTTTTTCTGCCTTATGCCCCTTATTGAATTGTTTCTTCAGAGGAGGCAAGAATTGAGGTTGCTTCAGACCCATCAGTCATTCTGATATTCACCACGTCTAACATTTTGGTGCCATGTGAATTGGATACCTTCTACCCCTAACATATTAGCACATTTTCTTTATCCAGTTCACTGTTGATGGACATCTATGTTGAGTCCATATATTTGTTATTGGAATTCACTGGTCTTTACATGTTCCCCACCATCCTAAAGCAGCTGATTTGACAGAGCAGTAGAAAGCCTTTTGAAGACTCACAGCACCCACTGGGTGATGTTATTTTGCAGGACTGGGGCAAGCTTCTCCAGTAGGCTATATATGCTCTGAATCAAGATCCAATGTATGGTACAATTTCTCCCCTAACTAGAATTCACTGAACCGGGCATCAAGGGGTGGAAATGAGAGTGGCACCACTATTATTCCTAGTTACCCACTAGCAACTTTTTTGCTTTCTGTTTTCTCATGACTTTGTTATATGCTCTGTTGGCCTAGAGGTTTTGGTTCCATAGGGAGGAATGCTTCCACCAGGTGACACAATAACTATTTAATTGAATCTGCTCCAGCATGGGTGGGCATCATCCGATCTAATAAAAGTTTGCCAAGAGACAGAGGAAGGGAAAATTTTCCCTTTTATGACTGACTTTTTGAGTTGGGATATTGGTCTTCTCCTTCCTTGAACTCAGATTTATGCCATCAACTCTCCTCATTCTCATGCCTTTGGACTGGGACTGAACTACACCACCAAACTTTCCTGGGTCTCCAGCTTTCAGACAACCAGATTGTGGGGCTCCTCAACCTTCATAATTATGCCAACCAATTTCTCATTTTATCTGTATCAATATCAATGTCTATATATCCCATTGTCTTTGTTTCTCTGGATAACTCTCGTATACCTCACGATGTATTTACAGCGTTTGTTGCTTTCTCAATTCCCTTTGGTGTTTCCCAAAACTTTACTGTAGTCTTGGTGGAACAGAAAAAAAAAAAAGGGACCTAACCTCTGGCCGGATGCCATGTGGTAGGAATCTTTCCCAGGATGGGGAAACCTTAATTTTGAAGTTTCTCACTTTGGTACCTATGCTCTGCTATTTTTGATCTCAGAGCAAGGATAATCTCTCCTACTCAAGATTTTTAGCTTAATCATATCTGCTAAGTCCCTTTTGCCATGTAACAGTCACAGCTTTCAGGAGTTATGAAGTAGACATCTTTGTGGGGGGCATTATTCTGCCTATCATAGGGAATTATAGAGATATTAGACTCTGTTCTCCAAGTTCTAGGCAAAATCAATAGGACCTTCTAAAAGGTTGTGCTCTTCACTCAAAATCTACTAAACAGAATACACTAACTTGGCCTTTTATTCTACCTTTGATGTGAAGTGAAGAGAAAAAAAAGCCTTGAAGTCCCTTCTGACTCTGGTCTCACAACTCCTTGAAAGCCCATATGTTCAAGGAAGGTATGTTCTTCTGTAAAGATGCCTTCTGTGCATGTGTGTCTTGTTTATGTATGCACAGAATGTGGGAACCAACATGCATGCCTTCTGTGCATTCATGTCTGTTCCCAGAACAAACGATATTTTCAGGGACAATTTTATCTAAAGTCACAGTCATACAAAAGAGAAGATTTGCCTGTACAGAGTTTAAACAGAATATACCTAAAATCTTAATCTGAAGCATCTACAGTTAGCTACTTCACTTGCTGCAGGCCAAAAGAGTGAGGGTCGTGATCAACTCAGTATACCACTGGAGGCTATATGAATAAACAGAAAACTGTTCTCATGAAAGCAGGGCGCTGGCAAACTGACAAACTGCATCTCCTGCCCAGAAGGAATGCTGAGGGTAGTCACAACCCAGGCACAAGTGTTTCTTGTGATTAGGCAAATCTGAAGCCTGTTAGCAATCATGTGAACCTGTGATCGATCAAGCAGCTGACCAATAGTTACCTCCTCCTCCCTGCTCTTTCTATCCAATAAATACAAGGGGCTGTAGAGGCTCAGGCGGCTGCCTTTGCTCACTAGAAGAAGGGAGCTCTCTTCTTCTTCCCCTGGCCCCCCTTTTTAAAACAATTTCTTTTGTGTTAAGTTTTCATTTCTGCGTTAGTCCCCCTTCGTTCAGTCTTGTAATGATGGTCTCAAGTAGTAACAGTAGTATCTGTCGTAGTGACAATCTCAAGTAGTAACTGTGGCAGTCTGCCATATTCACTGGTTTAAATTTTCCTCAAAAAATTGTATAAGGAATTTCTTACATATGCCTAACCAAAATGCTCAACTAATTAGTCCTTCTCAGAAAAAGGACAAGACCAGTCCCCCAAACAGATTCAACCTACCTCAACAATGCAGGAGTGGTTTAGGGCACACCTCTGTCTCCCGTGCCAGTTTTCACACTATTAAAAATTTAAGATCGAGTCCTGCTGCTTACATTGTGAAAACTCTGCCACTGGCAACTTTAACATAGGAGTAGGGCTCCTACTGATTAAAGTTTTAAGAAAATATCCCCTTTCTGCATACTTCAGTATAGGATTTCACAGTCGCATTAAGAACTGAAGAAATAAAGAGACTTTATAGGATGTATAATTCAATCCTATCACTTTTGTGAATGAAGAAACTGAGGTACAAGGATATTAAGTTAATCTTCCCAAAGATTTTGTGGGAAGCAACTATAGAATTAGTTCTGGTCCCAGTTTTCTTGAATATATGTATTTTAAAAAAAACTTCCAGCTTTATTGAGGCATAATTGACAAATAATATGGTATGTCAGGTGTACAATGTGATGACTTGGTGTGTGTGTGTATATATATATATATATATATATATATATATATATATTACAATTATTACCACAATCAGGTAAGTTAACACATTGATCACCTCACATGGTTACCCTTTTTTTGTGGTAAGAATATTTAAGAATATTTAAACATTTTTAGCAAATTTCGAGTACGCAATACAGTGTTATTAACTGTAGTCACCATGCTGTACATTAGATCCCTAGAGCTTATTCATCTCATAACTGAAAGTTAGTGTCCTTTGACAAACATCTCCTCATTTCTTCCAACCGCCTAGCCCATGGAAACCAGCATTCTATTCTCTGTTTCTGCATTCAACTTTTTTAGATTCCAGATATAAGTCAGACCATACTCTCCACTATACTTATAATTAATTTTTCAGTATAACATACTGCCTTTATAAATGGGAAATCTGTAAGACCTACCTATTTGGTTTTCTCTGGATTGGTATTATCCTGTCAGGTGCTTTGGACTGGTAATTACAGGGTCAGAAAGAAATAGCAGTGGTTGAGGGTCCCTGCTTATCTATACCTTTATGACACCTCTAGCCACACCTTTTGGTTGCTTATTCTGGACTAATTTCAGGTGTCACTGTTGCTTAAACTTTCTAAGCCCCAATTTTTTCTTATTCAAAAGCAGGGATAATATTTCTTAGAGTTTTGTGAAGATTCAGAAGGAATGCATCTAAAAGAGTTCAGTAAGTAGGAATTCTTTAAGCCTTCTGAGAAGAGGTTGTAGAGCCCTGAACACAGAAGCAGATAAGCATGATTTTATAATCGTCATAAATCTTAAATGGCATACTGTGTATCTGAAAAGCCCATAGAGGCCAAAAAAAGGAAGCTTGAATAAGACAGATACCTGATTAAATAAAAATTATAAAGACGTGCTTGAATAAAAATACAACCGTTCAAGAGACATTTTTATGTCCTAAAATAGACAGCAAGCCTTTTAGATAGCTTTCCGTGTTTTAAAATAATTTTAGTTCTCAATATACTGGTAACATAAAGTAGAAGTGAAAATCATGTAACAAGGACCCAAGATCCCCAAATAGACCAAACATAAAAATAAGTTATAAAATAAAAATGTGAAAGTTGCATACAGCCAAAATTTTGTGTGCTACAGGACACCTTGCTACAGTATGAAATATTATACCTTTTGTTATGGAGTTTAGAAAGTAAACAATGGCAAGATTTTAAACAAAGTGGCATAAATTTAATATGATTCAAGAACATGTCATGTACCCTATAAATACATATACCTACTATAGATTCATGAAAATTAAAAATGAAAATTTATTATTATGACATACTATAAAAAAAAAAGAAGCATAAAATCCTACTATTTAAATATGAGGATGTTTTATTGTTCTTTAATAAAACTTGAAAGTTTTTGGAATGTGGGGATTCCCTTTGGAAATTTTGGTATGTTACATATATTACTGAAATTGAGCTGAATTTGGGGAGTGTAAAGTTTGATTCTTTTTTTTTTTCAATGCAGAGTTGCTAAGATTTTATCACCCCTCATTTAAAGCCCTTTATTAACTCTTCATTTAATGAGATTCTAATCCTGTACTACGGCATATGTAAGAGCCCTCACATTTACTACTCCTTCCTATCTCAGTAGCTTTATTTGCCTTTCCACTGTCTCTATATTAGTCACATTTAGCTCTTTCTATTCCTCCATTATGAATGACTAGGTATTTTAATTGTCAGTAACTTTCTCAGTTAAGAGAGAGAATCAAGTCAATTTTATTAAAGTTATATATTTTAAAAACAGGTAAGATTACTGATCTATTACATAATTGTATCCACAATGGCAGATTTTTCTTTTGTTTCTGAGCTTCACAATAAATGGATCATAAACATATATTATCAAATTACTTTTTTGATTGATTTTATCTTCCAGTTCATTGTAACTGGAAGTTGTAATTTAATATCAAGATTTGAATATACAGTAAACATTCAAATGAAGCATATCAATAAAACAATTGTGTTGCTGTAGAAATTAAAAAAAAAAAGAACTATACTGTATAAGAAATCAGAGATAAAGGCAGTGAAAGAAGGAGCCACTCATTTTTCTCTATTCTAATTATCTTCGTTTCAGTGGATTAGAAAATGGTAAATGTAGAAGTCAAGTTAGAGATGGTGCTGAGCTCAATCACCTGCCAACTTAAGTCTGATAAATGGCAAGTGTGTATAATTAATACTGTCATTTTTCCCTAGACCAAAGGGCGACTGCAGTAACTATAGGTTGTAATTGTCATCGTTGTCATATAAAATGTGCTATTAGTAAGTTCAGGCTGAATTTTATTGCTGGGAATGCTCATAAATTGAGCGGTCAGTCATTTAAATTACCAAGTAGAGAGCTTTGTGGCTTGCTCTAAAACTACTTTCTAAGACAATGTATTTGACTTTGGACCTCCAGAAACTAATTGCATTTTTTTTTTGAACAGACGTTAGACAGGCTGTAACCTATACGTGAGGATATTCTGACAGACATGCCCTGTAGGTTTATGCATGTTCGTAAGAATCTGATATTTTTATTTCCAATATTTTTGGTGTAGCAGCAAGAGAGGAATAGAGAGTAGATGTGAAATGACATATGTGTGGGAGAGATCATCTTGAAAGTGCACTTATTGCTTTCTTGCAAGATGCCTTTCCAGAAGGTGATGTTGATGAAATATTCACAAGTACAGGATGCAAATTATGATGTATTTGTTGTTAGTGTTTTAGAGGATAATTGTGGGAATTTGGAGTAGAATAGCAAGAGAAGGAAAATCAGCTAACAACATCTTAACAGGATTAATAATGACTAATAAGATATTTGATGATTCTATTTATTATTTGTTTATGTATTTATAATTACTATACTATAATTAAAAACAATGTGTAATAAATATGTATTTGCCTAAAATGCTATATACAAGGTACTCTGATATGAAAAGTGTTGTTGATGAGATTTGTGACTTTTTCTTTGGTATGCTTAATTATATTTTCATTTTTTCCATTTTTAACATAAAATAATATAATTTTAGACTAAAAAATGTAAATAAAGGAAAAATTACCCATACCTTCATCATATTGATATCACTACTTTTGCCATTTTAATGCATTTTTTCTACATAAGAATGAATTTTTTATAGTTCTAAAAAGTGCTTATGCCATTTTCTGTATATTTTCTATGATTTTCTATGATTGTGTTGTATTCTAGAGAACTTCACAGAGCAGCCTAGTTGACTGTTATTCAAGTCTCAAATCAAACATAACCTTCCTAAATCATTTAATCTATATTAGTCTTCCTCCTTGTCCCCAACTTTCTATCATATTATCCTTCACAAAATAATTACATTCACAGTAATTAGTCCTATAATAAATAATTTTACTTATATAATTTCTATCTTTTCTCTTTGAAAATATAAGTTCCATGACAGCAGGGACTTCTCTGCCTTATTTACTATTGTATTCGTAGCCCTTAAAATGGCTTCTGAAAAATGTAAGTTTCATTAAATATATAATCAATGAATAATGAAAAATTTACTGTACCATTCTTCCATTGTTGGGCATAAGTTATTATCACCTTTGTGTGACAATTTATGCATTGAGGGAGATTTTCCATTAATATAACAGTTTTCAAATTTTAGAAATAAAATGTTAGAAAAGCTTAGAGAATAATTCAAAATGTTAGATAATAGGTCAAAAGTCTGAAGATATTTGTATCAGTCAGGCTTCTCCAGAGAAGCGCAACCAGTGGGACACACACACAAATCACACACACACACACACACACACACACACACACACACACACAGAGATTTATTATAAGGTATTGGTTCACATGATTTATGGAAGCTGAGAAGTGCCACAATCTGCCATCTGCTAGCTGGAAACGCAGAAAAGCCAGTGTTGTACTTTGAAAGCATGAGAGCCCGAGAGTCAGTGGTGTAAATTCCAGTCTGAATCTGAGGGCCTGCAAACTAGAAGCACTGGCAGCACCTGAAGCTCAAGCAGTCAGGCAGAAAACTAGAGAATCTTCCCTTCCTCTATCTTTTTGTTCCATTCAGATCTGCAGTGGACTGGATAGTGCCTGCCCACATTGGGGAGGACAATTCTCTTTATTTAGTCTGCCAATTCAATGCTAATCTCCCAGAAACATCCTCACAGACACACCCAGAATTAATGTTTAACCAGATAT
The DNA here is from genome assembly GCF_000001405.40 of Homo sapiens. Classification (NCBI taxonomy): domain Eukaryota; kingdom Metazoa; phylum Chordata; class Mammalia; order Primates; family Hominidae; genus Homo; species Homo sapiens. The sequence goes on along the minus strand of NC_000007.14, from coordinate 89,726,790 downwards.
CTGGGCATCCCATGATTCAAACAGTACACATAAAATTTGCTAGCACAGCATTTATGTCATATTGTGTGTGTGATATATGTATATATATGTGTGTATATATGTATACATATGTACACACACATTCTATATATATACACACACATCCTCTATATATACACATATATACATACATTCTCTCTCTCTATATATACACACACACATTCTCTCTCTATATATATATACATATATACACACACATCCTCTCTCTATATATACACATATATACACACATTCTCTCTCTCTATATATACACATATATACACACACATTCTCTCTCTATGTATATATGCATATATACACACACATCCTCTATATATACACATATATACACACACATTCTCTCTCTATATATACACATATATACACATTCTCTCTCTCTATGTATATATATATATATATATATATATATATAAAACCTTCAACTTGTTTTTTAGAAGGCTTGACCATATGTCCCTAGCACTGTGTGTGTGTCTACTTTGTCATAGTTTCATTTATTTTGTGTTTTATAATTTTAGAAAATGTCTGTTAAATGTGTAGGCAAAAATGATATACCTGAGTTTATATATGTTACTTCCTTTTGCTTTTAGCAAGTTTGTACTTTTACTTTTGGTATTATTGGTAAGTAGTGTTTTCTCTTTCGTGTTTTTGTGTTTCTCTATTTTGTTCTAACATTTTCTTCTTAACCAATATAACTCTAGAGTACTTTAACTCTGTCAGCTGAGAAGCTTAATTGTATTCAATTTAACCATTATTTAGAAAGGTGACATGCTATGAGTTTAGCTGGTCCAACAAGGAACAAGGTATCATCCTTTAACGCCCATGACATGACACAGTGAAGGAGGTAACAATTATGGTTCCCCCTACTGAGCACCTTTATGTAGGTTTTGTCAGATGCTGTGGTCAGTGTTTCATGTCATGTAATTCTCACAACAAATCTGGGAAATTGGTAGTTTATCCCCATTTCAAGATGTGAAACTGAAGCTCAATGAAATAGAGTAACATTGTATTTCTTAGGTAACACCTATGAAACATTGTATTTCAAGGTAACACCATTACTAAGTGTTAGGTCTGTGATTTAAACTCAAATATGTTTCCTCCCACAGTCTGCACACTCTCTCCTATGCCAGAATATCACCTTTGAGATAAATGTGTAGATGACAAACAAGACAGAGTAACACAAATGTCACTAAGAAAGATGTTAGAAATGAAATGACCTGGAAAATTGACTGATGACATTAAAATGTACATTTTTCAATTTACTTGAATTAAGTTGCATGTTTAATGTAAAACAGCAAATGTATTAACCACTTCCTTTGTTTAATATGTGAGTGCTAAATTTGTAATTATGTGGCTTAAATTTCTGGCTAAAATAGACTATTTTAATCTTATCTAAAATATTGAAGTATGACTTAAAGGTCTACAAAAATATTCTCTCATTCTATTGTTTGGAAAAATTTAGACTGTATAATATTTACTTTCATTGATGTTTACATGATATTTTAATAGATGATATGAAAACTCTTGTTTCTAAGACATATTGACAATCAAAAGCTTAGCTTCAGAATTCCCAGTGGGATTTACTGAATTGCTCACATTATGTTTCTGGGTATAAATCAATTTAGAGAATGTATCACTTCCTATGCTTATACTGGCAGCATGGAATTGTTTGAATATCTCTGGCCTGGGTATTATTAACACTATAACAAACAAATTAATAATTAAAGAATCACATGGTATAATCTCTGTATTTTAAGACATGGAATCACATACTTGAACAGAAGGTATTATCTAGGGAAAAGAAAAAGTGAGGAAAAGAAAACATTTAAAAACGATCTCATGCCACCAAAGGAAAAAATATCTCCAGTATTATAGACTATTTTTGTTAGTTGCTCTAGATATATTTGTGTTGATAAAGAAACATAATAGCATTTGTGTTTTATTTACTGTGGGAGAGACAGAAGGGAGACTAACAGGATAGCTGTACTGAAAATCTCCCCATATATTTAGTCCCCTCACTATACTCCTATGTGTATATGTAGGAGTGGGAAGTACCTCTGGGCAGAAACTCACAGAATTAAAAAGATAATGACTGCCTTCCTCATATACTTTAGGTATCTCTCTTTTTACAGGCTGAATAAATAAATTTTTATCATGATCCACAAAGATAAGAAAAACAAATTCTGTAAGTCATCTGTTGGCTACAACTTAGAGAAGAGCATTTCTTTGTACTGATCTTGTATTTTGTTGTGTTTCTGAAAAGTGATGCAGTAGTACTTGTATTCTGATAAACTTTTAACTACCCTTTTTTAATCTCTCCCTTTTCTTTTGGTGCCCGAATTCCATCATTTCTCTTTTAAAATTAATTTTTAATTGACAAATAAAATTGTATTTATTATGTACAACACATTTCTTGATTTTAATTTGCTTATGAAGTTGACTTTATTCCTATCAAATGTCAGAGAAGCTATATGAAGGATAGTTTATTGTTACAAAAATATGTCAATATTTTGGAAACAAAGTATGCTGGACTATGAGGCTAGGATGAGCTATCTTAACCAAGCATTGATGTGGGCATCAAAGGATTTGCATTTTACTGTCAGTTATACCACTGTAGAGTTCTGTGATTTTTAGATAAAGAATTTAATCACTCTGGGTCTCTGTTTCTTTGTTTATGAAAGAAATATATTACATTAGAAAATGTCAAAGTTATCACAGAGCTTTTAATTTCTGTATTCTTTCACTTTCTCTTGAGGGATATATGTGGAAACTGAACCCAGTATTCTGTAGGAAACTATCACCTAGATGTTTGCATAACACCTTTATCCTTGTACAGCAGTTTTACCTGTGTTGTCCAAAAGACCACCAGGATGGCTAAACAGTAGAAAAGAGAGCTTTATTTGGCAATAACTGTTTGCAAACTGGGAAGAGACAATCTCCAGCAGGTGCTGGAAGGTGATTTCTCTTCAAGGAGGGAAGGGGCAGTTTGGGTTTTCATGCCTCACAGGGCCTGTATCACACAATAGAATCATATACATTCAGTAGATTTGGGGGAAAAGCTATACATATTCATGATGGCAGCCAAGTGCACGTGCAATGGGTAAACATATATGTAATGCATGTCCTATGTTCACTTTGGGGCAGGGTTTTAGCACTAAAATGTGCAGTTCGTGGAGAGCCTCAATAAGTTGGCTGAAACTGTCTTAAGATCTTTAGTTGCTTATCAGAAAGGACTGTTTGTAAGGCCAGTTCTCTGTCCAAGCATCATAATTGTAGCAATCTGGGTTGTATATAAGAACTAGGAGGGGTCTGATAGCTCCTATTTGTGGGGAGTTTAGCAAGAGTGTGACTTTTCTTATAGCCTTAGGAATTTAGGAATTTACCATACCAGCTGAGCCCTGAACTCTCCACCTGTAAGTAAGTTTTGTTTCCCTAACTTTCGGATCTGTCTTAGTCGATAAGGGGATATCTCAGATCACATCTGCATTAGCTCACTGCATTAATAACACAATTCTGTGAGGAAGTAGGCATTATTATGCATAGAAAAAGATGGATAAACTGTTCAGATAAATTATGTGATCAATCCAAGGTCACACAGCTAATTCCAGTCAGAGCTGGATGCTCTGGGTGCCCTAATAAAGGTTGGACAAGTTATAATATCGTGGTGTGTCAGAATACCTACTGGCTTCCTACTGAATATGCTTCTGCTCAAGGTGAAAAATAATCTCCTCTTACTCTGATTTGCATCCAGAATTTACTAGCTAGCACTTATTAACTCCATATGGAGGAAACAGAAAGCAGACAGTGCTGAGAAGGCAGCAAGAGCCAAGCAGTGACTTTGTAAGCTGGATCCACCTGGATTCAGGTGGTTGGTTCACAGTTTGGCTCCAATTTTTGTGGAATGTTAGTTTGTGAAAAGTTCTTCTTGGATGACAGCCTCATACTATTCTTTCTGATAAGACGTTATGTTTCTTAATCAATAGCAGTGACTTTGAAGTATATATTTATGGCTAGCATCCCTGAAGAAACTTACTGAAACTTATTCTAAAAATAAGGCAGAATACTAAGTGACCATCTTCAAATCTGCATAGCTGAAATAGGATATGTTTTTAGAGGTTAAAATATGACAATGAAAGTGTCATTGTATGAGGGATTCCAGATCCTCAACATCCTGGTAAATCATTTCTTGGAAAATGTAAGATTTATAAAACAGTAATTTATTAATTTATAAATTTCAATTTTAGTCTGTAGTTTCTGAAAACATGCCAATATATCATTTTGAAGATGTTTTGCTCTTCTGAAACAAAACTAAGTCCTGTGAATAAATCTGGTCATTTGTCAAACCTGGATTATGTCAGAAAAAGACAAGGCTCAAAATAGCAGTTTGGTTTAGCTACGATATGTCAGCTATGTCTTGGTCACAGGGGTTTATTTATATGTATATGGTTCTCTTTTGCCATATGTATAAATAAACCATGGTGACTATACCCTTATGTTTAATACTTTTGTATTACTTATAACAAACAAAGCTCTATGCAAAGTTACAATATTAGCATTAATTGATTATTATGGATTTATGTTTCCTAGAAAGGGTCATATAATCTGTCGATGGAGAGAGATAATCTTATGTTTTGTTTGGCCTGTTATTTAAAAAGCAAGAGGAGAATAATAATGCCAGTTTTATAAATATTGAGAAACCTGAAATCATTTTGAAATTTAAAGGAATCATGAGCCTCCACGTATAATAATTTCTCAGCTTAGCACAATTGTTCAAATAAAATTTTAAAAAATCCACTGTTTTATTTCAGGCATCTCTGGTTGTAGAAAAAGCAGATTTTTCCTATTTTTTTTTTTTTAAGTAGGAAGAAACATTGAATTGAAAACCAGGACACCTGAGTTCTAATGCCTGTCCTTGGGCAAATTTCATTCCATCCATGCTACTGAAACATTTTGTCTGTAACAAGGAAACCAAAAACCAATAAAGTAAAGCCTATGGTATATTTTGAAGAACTCAGAAGAAAAATGAAATAGTAATTAGTTACCTGCCTACAGGCATGAAAATAGGCACCTTTATTATGCCTGCAGGAAATGTAATGATCTGTTTTGTATTCCCGTTATTAACTTTGTAATAATGGTAAGGAATATGAATTTGAGAGAAGTAGACACAGTGTTAGGCATGATCCAGTACTCCTTAGAATGGGCCAGAGACTAGCTCAGATCTTCTGAGTCTTTGTCTAAATACGCACACCAGATCAAAACACTCTGTCTGACTTGTTTAGGGAAAAATAATCAAGCCAGCAAGGCAGTTCAGTCAAATCATGAATTAGTCAGTCAAATAGTTTTTATTGGTCTGAATGGGTGAGCTGATATGTTTATTCATTCAGCCAACAAAATGTTTTTGATGATCAATGATATGTCAATGAATATGACATGAATGCAAAGATGAAACAAACATAATTTTTGCCCCTGAAGATTCAGAGATTATGGTTGATTCAACTATAATTCAAGGTATTGAAGTAAATGTCATCTGTATTGTGCTTATTGTAGGCAGATGCTTGGTTAATTGAGCAGGATGAATTGAGGAGCTGTGGCCATGTGTCTAGAGGATAAGACACTTTTGGTCAAAATAAAGTTAATTCAGGAAAAAGTTCTGCAGAGGACGTTAGGATTTGGAATATTTATTGGCCTATTTATTGTTTCTGTTCTTCCATCTTGACCCAGATGGCATTCAGTCAGGACTGAGAATAACAAACTCCACCTCTAATTTTTTTTTTTACATCTATCAGCCTAAATGTTGAGTCCGGCATCCTTTCTGCCTAGTATCATTCAGGAACACTTCCTTTACCTGCTCTTTAATTAGACAGAAGGACAGAAAGTCAGGGGAGTACAGAAGATTATTCATAGGTAAGTAACATGACTAGGGAAAATGAGTAGAGGAATTATTACTCCATATGTTAAGATGAGGTGCTTAATGAAGGTATCACAAAATATTCTAGGATATCAATAATAACACTTAAAGTTGGTCACCCCATAAAAACATAGTAAATGAGGGCCCAACAGGAGATGGAACAATGATTTGAATTTAGGCCTTGAGTCCTAGCCCAGTGATTTTTAGACTACAGAAGGAATGCCGTGAAAAGGAAATTTTTAAATGTTGATTTCAGTGTTTTTCTTGGTAATCCTTCTATTACATTGGATGAAAATGTGAAGAAAAAGACATAGGTGTATTTATAATTCCTTGCTGAGGTTTTAGTATTCATTATGATTATCATATAAAAGCTACTCATTTAAGGCTATGTCTAATGAGACAGGCAGAGGCCATTTTTAAATATTCTGTGCTAACAAAATCAAGATATTTCAGAGGTATAAAATCATCCTGGCTTTTGATTTTTGGATGATGCACTGGGAATTTTCAGGGACAGAAGTTTAATCAAAAGACCTATTAATGGGTTGGTAATGGCACTGCTGAAATGACAGCACAATGCTCCCAGAGAAGCAGAGATTCAGATTGTTCATGGAAAAGTGTACCCTCATCTTTTCTCTAAAATAAGAGGAAAAGCTGACATTCAACTTAAAAAATGTCTAGTTATTTTCACTCTTTTTTCTCTAATCTTGTCTTCTCACTTTATTTCATTAATTTGATCTTCAATCACTGATATCCTTTCTTCCACTTGATTGAGTCAGCTATTGAAGCTTGTGTATGCTTCACAAAGTTCTCGAACTGGTTTTCAGCTCCATCAGGTCATTTAAACACTTCTCCACACTGGTTATTCTAGTTAGCCATTCATCTAACCTTTTTTCCAGGTTTTTAGCTTGCTTGCCATGGGTTAGAACATGCTCCTTTAGCTCGGAGAAGTTTGTTATTACTGACCTTTTGAAGCCTACTTCTGTCAACTCATCAAACTCATTCTCCAGTTTTTTTCCCTTGCTGGTGAGGAGTTGTGTTCCTTTGGAGGAGAACAGGTGTTCTGGTTTTTGGAATTTTCAGTCTTTCTGCTCTGGTTTCTCCCCATCTTTGTGGTTTTATCTACCTTTGGTCTTCGATGTTGGTGACCTACGGATGGGGTCTTGGTGTGGATGTCCTTTTTGTTGATGTTGATGGTGTTCCTTTCTGTTTGTTAGTTTTCCTTCTAACACACAGGCCCCTCAGCTGCAGGTCTGTTGGAGTTTGCTGGAGGTCCACTCCAGACCCTGTTTGCCTGGGTATCACCAGCGGAGGCTGCAGAATAGCAAATAATGTTGCCTGACCCTTCCTCTGGAAGCTTTGTCCAAGAGGGGCACCTGCCTGTATGAGGTGTCTGTTGGCCCCTACTGGGAAGTGTCTCCCAGTCAGGCTACACAGGGGTCAGGGACCCACTGGAGGAGGCAGTCTGTCCATTATTGGAGCTCGAACGCTGTGCTGGGAGAACCACTGTTCTCTTCAGAGCTGTCAGGCAGGGATGTTTAAGTCTGCAGAAGCTGTCTGCTGCCTTTTGTTCAGATATGCCCTGCCCCCAGAGGTGGAATCTAGAGAGGCAGTAGGCCTTGCTGAGCTGCAGTGGGCTCCACCCAGTTTGGGCTTCCCTGTGGCTTTGTTTACACTGTGAGCATAGAACTGCCTACTCAACCTCAGCAATGGCAGATGCCCCTCCCCCTGCCAAGCTCCAGCTTCCCAGGTTGATCTCAGACTGCTGACATAGCAGTGAGCAAGGCTCTGTGGGCATGGGACCTGCCAAGCCAGGCATGGGAGGAAATCTGGTCTGCTGGTTGCGAAGACCATGGGAAAAGTGCAGTATTTGGGCAGGAGTGTACCGTTCCTCCAGGTAAGTCACTCATGGCTTCCCTTGGCTAGGAAAGGGAAATCCCCCTACCCCTTGCACTTTCCGGGTGAGGCAACACCCCTCCCTGCTTTGGCTCACCCTCCATGGGCTGCACCCACTGTCCAACCAGTCCCAATGAGATGAACCAAGTACCTCAGTTGGAAATGCAGAAATCACCCATCTTCTGCGTCAATCTTACTGGGAGCTGTAGACTGGAGCTGTTCCTATTTGGCCATCTTGGAAGTAACCTAAAATATATATCTTAAGACAATTTATTGCTCAAAACATATAAAACTTAATTCTAAAAAATTCAACTACCTAAATTTAAATGAGATTGCTGCAACTGCAGCTTGCCGACCTCCAGGAGACATGAAAAGGGACGAGGGGCGCAGGGCTGTGGGGACGTCAAGAGTGCCCCAAGGTCTAGTTCTGAAGTTTATTTTTAAAATGTGTGTCATATCTGACTTGTTAAGGTGTCGCTGCATTTTTTTTCTGCCTCAGAACTAATTGTAATCTTTTGTGTACTGTTACATTTAAGTGTCTCAATCACATCTGTATTTAATAATTAACCTAGAATTATCCAAATATTATTTAAATGGACTAACAATAGCCAAATGATGTTCTGGCAACCATATGTCTTGTTAATGTTCTATCCCTCTGTCTGTCCATTCCCCAGTATGGGTTACATAGTACTAAATTAATTCATAAGACTTTTTTGAAAACATAAATTTTATTGTATACGTTTGAGGCTTACAACATGATGTTATAGGATACATATAGATGGCAAAATGGTTATAGTAATGAAGCAGACTATCATATCTATTATTTCACAGTTACTTTTTAAGGTGACAAGAGCAGCTAAAATCTACTTGATTAACAACAATCCCTAATAAAATACAACTTTATCAACTTTAGTCTTTATGTTATACATTGGATCTTTATACTTATTCATCCTACATATAAGCTTTTTATTATATTATGCTGGTTTCACCAGTAATTGTTGCCAGCAGATCCTGCTTTTAATGTCTTGACTAGAATTTAATGGAAGGATATCTCAAAAAGTGGGGCAAGCTGTACAATCAATATGCCTAAAAGAAGCAAATCTCCAGTCCGATTAGACAATGCCAGACTTAGTCTCTAAAAGTTCTCTTTTGTGGATTAATTGAAGGCGAGAAAAAGTGATTGACAAAGTTATAAAGGTAATTATAATGCATCATCATCTTGATTTTTGGATGTGGATTTGAGCATAACAGGAAAAGGGGCTGATGCAGGTAGGAAGACGAGGGGATTAACAAATTAAAAGTTGAGATAGAATTTAAGTAGTTTCAAAGGATACAAAACCAAGAAGTGATAAGGGATTCCACTTTAATAATTTCTTTCTGGCATTCAGATACTGAGCAGAAACCTTGGAAATCATCTTGTATTAACCAATTAAATAACTGAATAGCCATTGCATTCAAGGTTTAGTAGGCAACTATGAGGTATCAAAAGCTTTCAAATCTGATATGTGAAGGTAGGGGTTCTGCAGACTATAGTCTTCTGTCCAAATATGGCCAACTACTTGTTTTTGAATGGCCTGGGAGCTAAGAATACTTTTTTTGTATTATTTAATGATTTAAAAAATCATGGCAACATTTAATGATGTGAATGTTATATGAAATTCAAATTTTAGTGTCCATAAATAAAGTTTTTTTTAGTTTATGAATATTTGATTAAGCAAAGTGCCTGTGGCTAGCTCAGAATTTTGTAATACCTAGCAGGAAATAGGTAATAAATTGCATGATTATAAAAAGAAGGATAATTACAAACTCATGGCTTTAAGGGGCTAGTAACTCCTAAGAAGAGTACATCAATGCATAAATTTCTCACCATAAATGAAGTTTATGGGGATATATCCACACGGATTTTCTTTCTTTCTTTTTTTTTCTTTTTTTTACATTTTGTCAATGGCTGCTTTCCTGATACAGGATTGAAGTTGAGTACTTAAGACAGACTATGTAACCTGCAAAGCCTAACATATTTACTCTCTAGTCCTTTAAAATAAGTTTCCGAGTCCTGGTCCAAGATAAACCCCAATTCCACTATCGCTTAGTGTGGGATTCAGTAGTCTCACAAGCTAAGATTTGCTGAGGACTATCATGTGTTCGGCATTTTTCTCACAGCTTTCTCATCTCATTTAGCCCTCCTAACACTTGCACAAGATAGCTGCCATTTTTATTCCTACTTTGAAAGAAGAAACTGAAGCACAGAAATGTTGGTAACTTGACCCTAATTCACATAGCTGTTGAGTAATTAATTAGAGATTTAAACCCTGGCCATCCTCCAAAGACTATGTTTCACACTTTCTAATTCTCAATTTCTCATCTATAAATTCAGGATAGTAATACCTTTTTCATTAAATCTGCTAAAATGTAGAAAACCCTTGGAACAAAAATAAATAGTTTTAAAAGGTTAGTTATTTCCTTTTATCCTGTATGCTAATTGTGTTTTATAGCCATCTCCTAGATTACTTGTTAATATGCAAAGTTGAGATTCTGGACCTGGAGATTCTGGAAAGGATGCTATAAATATGTTTTATGAAAAATACCCTCAGGTTATTTCGATGCACGTGGTCAGGGTGGCACTTTGAGAAATGCTGGATCATTGAGGATATGCGGGGGAAAGGGGAGGATTCTGTCCTCTAGAAAGAGAGATCAAACATGAGTATATAAAGACATAACTGCTATAATGAACGCATGATCTGAGATTATGAGCAAGTTCTATGGAGTTTCAGAACTCAGAGAGCTTATCGTAGGAACTAGAGTTAACATTTTGGAATAAGACAAAGGAAAGGTCACAAAAATGCCTATGAAAGAAAAAGCAAGGAGAAGTGGACAAAATATAAGTTGCCCTAAAAAAGTGAATAAACTAATGAAAAGTAGGTGGGAGCTGACTTGAGGGGGCATTCACAAGACACTTCTGAATATTCAGGTTGGCCAAAGAAGAAAATTCATCTTGGCTCCTGGGTATCTGCGAGCAGCAGATGAAGGCATCCTGCGCAAGAAGCAACCATGGTTCTTGCTCTCAGGGGATTCACAATTTAGTCTGGGAGCCAATGATGCAAACAGTGATTACAATACAATGTCAAAAGATCAGTCACAGGCCAGGTGCTGTGGCTCACACCTGTAATCTCAGTACTTTGGAAGGCTGAGGTGGGACGATTGTGTGAACCCAGGAATTCAAGACCAGCCAGGGCAACATAGTGAGACCTTGTCTCTACAAAATTTTAAAAAATAGCTGTCGTGGTGGTGCATGGTTATAGTCTCAGCTATCTGGGAGGCCGAGGTGGGAGGATCACTTGAGCTCAGGGGTTTGAGGCTGCAGTGAGCTAAGATGGCACCACTGCACTCCAGCCTGGGCACAAAGAGAGACCTTGACTCAAAAAAAAAAAGTTCAGTAACAAAAATATGATCAACCTAAAATATTACAAAACAAGAGGCACCAGCCAACTAGGTTGCAAACGAAGAAGCACCAGCCAACTAGGAAGCAAATAGGTTTTATTGAGGCATCAACATTTCTGATGGGAAGGCAGATGGAACATAAAGACCATAAGATGCAAAATAACAAGAGTAACAAAGACCACGAATGGGGAAGTTTATTATGATGTTAAAAAACAATGAATGACTTTTCACCAAAAATGTGACCTAAAGGTAGAAGGCATAGGCTAAAGCACCTATGAACAAACAATTTTGATTTTACTAGACATGTTAATTGCAAACTATTATTTCAAACACACACACACACAGACATGCAAATTTACTGAGCTCAGTTTAGGTAGTTTATAGTTATCATAGGCACTGGTGTTAGGGAGCTTGGTGTTATAGTATGAAAGATCCCAAAAAGTTCATTCTTAGGGCATGTAGTTTGAAGTTCTACTGTGATTCTCCATGCAGGATGAGCTCCAGATAAAATACAAAATTTTTAAACAATATAGATGATGAAAAAATAAAATTAAATGACTTTATGTTCAATTTTTGTGATTCAAGTACCATTTATCCTTGGCCCAATTTCCAAAGATTAGCATCTTTCAAAGTGTCTTATTCCATCTTCCATTCTTCACCTCCTCCTTCAGTCTTTTGAAATATTTCAAATGTACCACTACCCAGTTTAATCAAATCTCAACAATTTGACACATGTGCTTCTTTTTAGTATTGACTTTAAGTGACATCTTAAATACATAGTAAAACAAAAAGCTCCCTTGATATTCATTCTCCCCAATGTTTCCCTCCTCTCTTTCTTCAGAATTAATTAGTGTTATACTATATGACTTTTTAGTATTTATCACTCCCAAAAAGTTTTGAAAATTTCCCCGTATGTTAGGTAGCTGCAAGTAATAGATTGTACTAATTACATATTTTAAATTTCTAATACTCTTAGATATATAGTTCTGAATAATGTACTTTTATTTAAAACTGTGTTTTTAGGTTTATTTAGTTGTTGTATTATGAAAATCTAACTTGTTAATTCTAACTACTCTCTTATATTCCATATGTGACTATGCCAAGTTATTAATCCATCTTCCTGGCAAAGTACATTTGGTCTGTTTTCAATTCTTGCCTATGACAGACCATATTGCAATGAGTATCATTATAGCTGTCACTTTGTGTATCCATGTGGAATTTTTTCTAGGACGTGTTTCTCTACACTGGCTGCAGATTGCAATACCTCCATTATTGCTTGAGCCTCACCCTCAGAGATTCTTATTCATTTGTTTTTGGGGTAGGGTTTAAGTACTCGTATTAAAGATGAAATAAATAGAAAACTCCTTAGGCATTTCAATTTATAATTAAATTGATAATCTATTGTTAAGTCAAGAGTATAGTTGCTGGGTCATAGAATATGCATATTTTAAAATTCACTGTATTTATTGACATCTTATTTTCTCCTTAACAGTGTATTGTGTATTTCTGCTAAACTATATCCTTACCAGTACCTGGATTTGTCTCACTTTATTTTTGTTTGTTTATTCATTAATCTAATTAGTTGAAATAGTATACCACGTGGTTAATACTGTAATACCTGAATTACTAGTGGGATGAGTTTTATTTTATTATACATTTAAATTTCCACTATTCTAAATTTCTAATTTATTAGATTTGCTTATTTTTCAATCGGATTTTTAATCTTATTTCTTATTTGTATGAGTTTTTAATATTATCCACATATTGTTCCTTTATCAATTATATGTGTTACTGATATTTTCTTCAAGTATATGACTTTTTTTCATTTTGTTTATGGTAAATTTTTTCACACAAATATTTTATTTTGATATAGTCAATTGTATGTATTATTTTCATTAATGCTTGTGTTATTAGTGAGTTATTTTAGGAATTCTTCCCTCTGCTGAGATGATAAAATTTATGTGTTATTATCTCTTCTAAAAGCTTAAAACTTTAGATTTTCACATTTAGATTATTAATCTATATGGAATTTTTATTTGTGTATGCTACAAGTATATTATAGTGGCTGGATTTTAAATGGACAACAGATAGAAGCAAAATATAAGGCCAGAGTCCTATGTACTACTGCTCTAAATAGTATTAAAGGAGAAGCAGATTCCAAATTAAGTTGTACTGTTGTAGTTGGGAAGGTTTGGCATATGTGTTAGTTTGCTGGAATGCCATAACAAAATAGCACAGACTAGATGGCCTAAACAACATAAATTTATTTTCTCACAGTTCTGGAGGCTGAAAGTCCAAGAACAAAATACCAGCAAGTTTAGTTTCTTGCCTCTCTCCTTGGCATACAGATAGCCATCTTTTCACTGTGTCCTCACATAGCCTTTTCTCTTTGCATGAGAGCCCCTGGTGTTTCTTTGCGTGTTGACATTTTCTCTTCTTATTGGGACACCAGTTAGATTGGATTAGTGCTCACCCTAATAGCCTCATTTTAACTTCATCACATATTTAAAGCCCTTACCTCCAAACACAGTCAAGTTCTGGGGTACTGAGGGTTAGGGCTTCAACATATAAGTTTGAAGTCAGGGGAACACATTTCAGCCCATACAGGAAATGTTGAGTTTGCTGTACTTTTTAAGACAATATGGCATCTTAGCATCTCTTGCAGAAGTCATGGTAGCTCAGGGCTCTCACGGAGTGAAAGTAGAGGCTGTTAAGCCTCTGAATGGCTATGCCTTGAACTGATACAGTGCCACTTCTGCTTTATTTCATTGGTTGATGAAAATTACAGGGTCAGCACACAATCTAGGGGAAGGGAAATAGGCTCCATTTCTTGAAGGAAGGAATAGTATGCAGATACAAGAAAAAAATTCTTGGTGGCCATCATTGAGGATAAACTACCACAGATGGTGAAAAGAAGAGGCCCTGTTTTGGAAGATACTGAAGAGCAATTTCTCACTGAAGACTTCTTTCACTAAACAGAAGATGACTTGCAGAGAGATCTTATGTTCCTATGGTGTCTTTAGGTTGGGTTGATTGTTCTCAGACAGGGAACTCACCTCACAGAATCTGCCAGAAGAGTCTATAGCAGGAATCAGCAAATTAGTGCTCATGGGCCAAATCTAGCCTGCTGCCTATTTTTGTAAATAAAGTTTTATTGGAAGAAAGCCACACTCATTTGGTCATATATTGTCTATGAATTTCCTGCTACATTGGCAGAGTTTAATAGTTGCAACAGAGATTGTATGACCCACAAAGCCTAAAATATTTGCTATCTGGCTCTTTTCAGAGAAAGTTTGCCAACCACTGATCTACAATATTGAGAACTTACTCTAAAGTGTTGCTATTTTTGCAGGCAGCTAAAGCAACCTAGGGTGATGGATTAGGAGATAGCCTTGGTAATTGCCAAGCCACTAGTGAAGGTTGTGTAGACCATGTGGAATAAGGAACATTATTCAGAAAAGTCAGGGTAAGTGACAGTCTTCCTGGGGTTGCCAGATTCAGCAAATAAAATACAGGGCACTCAGTTACATTTGAATTTCAAATAAAATTTTTTTGGTATAGGTATTCACTATGTAATATTTGGAACATATTTATGCTAAAAGTAACCTATCCCTGGTGGTTTATATTTTACTGATAGTTAACTGAATGTCCCATGTTTTCTCTGGCCATGCTATGTCTAAAGCAGCAGAGAGTAATGCTTAGGAGAGTGGACTCTGAACAGCGGCTGCCTAACTTCAAATATTGGCTCCATTTCTCCTTGGCTGAGTGACTTTCAGCAATGCATTTAGTTTTCTGTGCCTTGGTTTTCTCATCTGTAATTGTAATATGAGAATAATAATAGTTTTTACCTCAAAGGGATTAAGTGAGGATTATGTGAGTTCACATATACAAAGCATTTAGATAGTGCCTGTCATAAAAATAAGTATTCCATATGTGTTTGTTGTTATTAATCCTGCAGCAAAATAAATCAGAATGAGAGAAGGACTTGAATCTTCCTGGATGCAAGTGCTGTGAAGGAATGCAGAAACAGGGGCACTGAGGCAGGTGTCACATCAGTAACAGTGACATGTCCAGGTCTGTTTAGTTGCAATTGGCATAGACTGCAGGCTATTCTTGGAGAGCGCATTTTTAAGTGTGCAGCTGATCTGAGATGCAGAGCTGCTTATTCTTAAAGTATGCTGGGATCCCAGAGTGACATTTTCATTTCAAACAATTGAGCAGAAGTAATGTAGTTGTTACATAACAAGACATTGGTTAGAGTACTTTTTCTTAGTCAATATAGAAAATCTATACATCTTTGGTAGCATTACTTTCTCTTATTGAAATGATGTCAACTATTTACCATAATGGATTCTATTCTAAAGGAGATTATTTCCTAAATTGCTAAGTGAATTGTGCTCTAGAAAACAAAAAGACAGTACAATAATTTTCCTGTCCAATAATGTATCTCAACTAATGAAATAACATTTATAATTGCAAAAATTAGCTTACATTTTATACTTATGGCAGATTTTTCATAACACATTTAAATCTAGGGCATAATGTGGTAATTTAGAAAATGACAGCAACCTGGAAACTAGGGTGAGAGAGATACATCTGCTCCAAATAGTGAAACTCGTTTTCTGTAACCTGATGTGGTTCATGCATCAGTCAGCTATGAGAAGTAACAGTATGTTTTAAACATTTGAGCTTGCCTTGTCAGAATGTAATAAAAATCTGGGTCAAAAAGTATTCTCAAATACAGGTATTTTCCTGTGATTAAAAACAACTTATATTTTCTTGTAAGCCAAGGATTTAATTTAAAATTATTTTTTAAATGTCTTGCTTCCTTATTTACTAATTCCTTATTTACTTATTTACTAATTTACTAATAAGTAAATAAGTAATTACTTATTTACTAATTAGTATTTACTAAATTGAATTACTAATTTAATTTTATTCTTTCATCTCATTCATCTTTCTAACAACATGTTATTCTCTCCCTTCTATATGCACACATAAATAGAGCTCATTTTACAATGGCATTTTATATTTGCTATTTCAGTGTTCTGTGCTTAAGTAGTCCTATCTAGTAGCCATGCGCTGGGAACAGAGGTAACAACATTCTCTTGGCATGGGTGTTTCTTGTGCCAATACAAGGCTTTCATTTGTGCCCTGACAATAACAAATGGACTTATGGAAATGTTGAGTGGTTAGACAATAGATGTCATGAATGAATGGTCCTAGAATAATGTGACACAATGTAAATTACAAAAGATTTCAGAAATTATGATTATGAGAGAAAATATTCACAGTTATTTCCAGGATTTGCTACAGATTTTAAGTGATGAGGAGTTTGGATGTTTGTGCTTTTGAGTCAGCACCAACAAACAATTTGAAAACTAGTTTCTCTCTCCTCTCTCTCTGCCTATCATCTATCTTCATCATCATATATCTATTAAGGGGATAAATGTTATAGGAGGAATATTAAAGTAAATTAATACATATGAAAATAATGGTAGGGAAAGCAAAATCATGCAAAAATGTAATATGTTTCCAGGCCAACACAATTTGATTTGATACATGATCCTCTTATTTTACAGTTTTAAAATGCATCTCACAGCCAAAGCCATTCTTTACTCCTCTCCTTGGGGAAATATGCAAAGACATGCACTTCCACATACACCTGCCCCATTGGAAGGTTTTTATTTCAGTGCTATCAACTTCTATTCTCTCCAGTCATTTTCCTTTTCTTGTCAGTATCCATTGTTTCCAGTAATTCACTTGAGTAATCTGAGCATCACTGAGAACAACTGTGAGCAATTTCTGCCTGCTGCCTTTGTTGAGAATGGCTTTTTGTGATGGAGGTTATTTCTGACTCTATAGACAATTAATAAATGGATTGAAATTAAATTATTATCTCACACTATCACATTGATAAGAAAATACAATTTTATTTTTTGTTGTACAGAAATGCCCTTAAATCATATCTGGTAACCTTGATCACCAGTACTATGGGCGATAGCAGTGTTTACCCTTTTCCAATGCGGAGGAGTAGGGGAGGCATCAGGACAAGCTCTCATCTTCCCTTACTGATAGCCCAACTTCTTCTTGGCCAGTTATCCTGTGACGGCCTTATTTTTTTTTATTTTTCAGTGGCTATTCTATCACATAAGATATCGCACACAATTACTACTATATACTGTATTGCCTTCAATACAATGTATGCATAAGTTCATAGGAAAAAAAACAAGTTTTTCATACACAGTCTTTGATGTGTTTGATTTACTTGGTCAGGGCAAATGAAGAAAAAGTGCACAACTAGGTCAATGTGATTTAAAGGAATCAACGATTTAATAAACATTATAATATATATATTTATTAGCACTTTCTCTGACAGGTATTGAGGTATTTATTTATACTAATTCATTTAATCTTTTAACGACTCTATTATTCCCCTTATTTTACAGAAGACGTTGCTTAGAAAAAATACATTTATGTAAATTGCCCAAGACACAAAGCTAAAAAGTAGTAAAGCCAAAATTTGTACTCAGCTTATCATGTTCTAGTTTGTGCTTATATACGTTACACTACACCAACATCTACCTTTTCCCTCTCTAAAAGTCTGTTCAACTGTAGTAGGATTTTTGCCTCATTGTGAGATGAAATTTGCAATATATCTTGCTTCATAACGCCAGCAATGAAAAAACTGTGGGATTTGGGTGAGGTGCATGATGCAAGAGGCAATACTAAATGAGCAGAAGAGAACATACTGCCTCTCCTTTACCTTATAAAGTCTCTCCTGAAGGGAATTGGAGAAGAATACAATTAAACTATAGTATTATTTGTGTAGAAAAATAAATAAATATATAACAAGTGTTGGGGAATGAACAGGAGATTCCAGAGACTGCTGAAGTATGTGAAAGATGGGAAGGAGAATTTTAAAGTATTTTTTTGTTTTTCACGTTATGAATGTGATTCTATTTTTTAACATTTTCTTGAGATTACATTAAAGATTTAAATGATTTATAAATTACTTTTAGAAACCAGACTGAGGTAACTGAGAAACCAAACTGAGAAACTCTTTTGTTTTGGGGTGTAACCAGCTCTAAAGTTATAAAAGGAAGGCCTAATAATGTGTTTTACAAATATTTTAAAATATTACTACTGCTAGTATTAAATATAATCACACAGCATTTATCTAAAATTTAGTTTAAATCATATGTTAACATTTCTTAATTTATTTAGTCTTTACAGAAACCCTGTATTGTTAATATTATCCCGTTTCACCAATGCTCTTTTGCTCTTTTAGTAGTTATCTCTTTTATTTATTTATTTTTTAAATAAATAGAGTTTTAAAATAATTTTTTTTTTTTTTTTTTTTTGAGATGGAGTCTCACTCTTTCGCCCAGGCCGGACTGCAGTGGTGCTATCTCAGCTCACTGCAAGCTCTGCCTCCTGGGTTCATGCCATTCTCCTGCCTCAGCCTCCTGAGTCGCTGGGATTACAGGCACCCGCCACCACGCCCGGCTAATTTTTTGTATTTTTAGTAGAGACAGGGTTTCACCGTGTTAGCCAAGATGGTTCGATCTTCTGACCTCATGATCCTCCCACCTTGGCCTCCCAAAGTGCTGGGATTACAGGCGTGAGCCACCACACCCAGCCAATAAAATTTTTTAAATAAATAAAATTTATGTTTTAAAATAATTATTTGTTGAAAAATTATAATTGTATATAATTATGTGGTAAACAGTGATGATATGATATATAGAGAGAGCATGGAATGACTGAATCAAGTTAATTAACATATTCATCACCTGAAATACTTATCATTTATTCCTTCTAACTGTAACTGTGTATCCTTTGACCAACACCTCCCTATTCTCTCCATCTCCCAGCCTCTGATGACCACTATTCTGCTTTTTGCTACTTTGTTTAATTGTTTTAGATTTCCACTGACTCCTGGCCTGCAGGGTTTCTTTTGAGAAATCTGCTAACTGTATTGGGACACGCTTGCATGTCATATGTTTCTTATCTCTTGCTGATTGCAGATATTTTTGTTTGTCTTTGAGTTTTTTACAGTTTGATTATTATGTGTCTTGGTGAACTCCTTTTTGGTTGAATTTGATTGAATATCTCTGTACTTCATGTATCTGGATGTTGGCACCTTTTCCCAGATTTGGGAAATTTTCGGCTATTATCTCTTTATAAACATACTTTCTGGCTGTTTTTCTTATATAAATGTTAAGTGCCTTGATGGTGTTCCATAATTTCTTCAGATTTTCTTCATTTTTTTTCTTTTTTTCTTCTCTGACTGGATAATTTCAAATATCCTGTCTTTCATCTCACTGATTCTTTGTTCTACTTGATTGAGCTTGCTGTCAACACTGTCTTTTTAATTAATTTATTCAGTCATTATGTTCTTCATGTCTAGGATTTTTATTTGGCTTTTAGAATACCATTTATATTACTTTGCCAAACTTCTTGTTTTGTTTATTGTTTTGCAAATTTTATTTACTTTTCTATCTGTATGTTTTTGTAGTTCATTGAACTTCCTAAAGAGAACTATTCTGAATTCTTTATTAGGCATTTCATAAGTCTACATTGTTGGAACTTCATTAGCATATTTTGGAGGTCTCATAATTTTGATTATTTGTAATCCATGACACCTTACATTTGTAACTGCACATTTGGGGAGATAGCCACGTCCTCCATCCTTCACAGGTGTTCTTTTGCAGGGAAAGACCTTTACTATGAAGTTGAGACAGTTATTCTGGATGGGTCAGCTGGTAATAACACTAGGCAGGTAGTGCTTGCTGTTAGGTTCTCTAGCTCTCTGGAAGGCTGCCTTTGCTCTGGGGTTGGATGGGGCTGCTGGCTGGGCTCTGCTGTTCACTGGACCCACTGACTGGGTGTTGAAATCACGTCTGGTGAGCTGGGGCACAGGATATATTCCCTAGATGGCCAGCACCACTATTTGAGTTCTGTAATTTTGGCAGGGCTGCAGGTTGGGTTGCAAGATTAGATGGAATTGCTGCTTGGAATGGCCAAACCCAGCTGCTAGGCTTGGTAGAAATGCATGATTGAGGTTTGCCTCCCTGCTTGGGTAGAGAGTTGGAATGGGCTTTGAGGCAGAGCCAGGATGCTTTTTGAACATCTGGGTGATGTAACTCTCACCTTTGCATTTGCTGAAAGGCACTGTGATGTGTATCTCCCTATCTGGACAGAGCCTTAGGGTGGGGTCTAAGTCTGGGCATGGAGGTTGGCCTTCTAGGGACTCAAGCTAGTCTGAACTTTCCACCGTGCTTCTGGGAGTGGCCAACTCAGCTTTGCATATGAGCTATGCTGCTTGTACCTCTGGGCACCATTGCTGGCAGTAATACAGAAATACCACAAAGATCTGCACACTGTTTCCTTTGAAGAATACCTCCTTTCTTTGTTTTTCTTCCTTTCTTTCCGTCATAGCTAGAATATACCATGCTCCAGGCTGCCACCTTTTTTCTTTAATACTACCTGATTCATTCAAGCAATTAACACTTTTTTTGGGGGGGGGGCTAGAGTGGCAGTCCAGAAAGGCAAACACAGTATTTCACAGAAATAACACTATGTTGATTCACAAAACTAGCATTGTTAGGGACATCTTTTACACATTTTTCCTTTGCAATTATATAACATGGCAGGATAATATTTTTAAAAGTTTTCTGCAATTATTTCAACCACTCTGCAAGATAGATGTAATATTTTCATTGTGTTAATGAGGCTACTGATACTCAAGGAAGTTAAATATCTTACAGAAAACAAATTCTATTACTAATTTTGGAAATATGAAGAGCTGTACTTTTTTTCCTCAAGTACAAGTAAAACGCTCACCATTATATAATGAAATAATCTAAGAAGGCTCCGAAAGGTGACAGGAAGAAGGCAAACCACTCTCAACTTTGGAACTCAAGAACCAGCATGGTGGTAAATTCCCAGGGATTTTCTGTTGGTCCAGATAACTCAGACTTGGAGTTGAAGATGCAGGCAATTGGTAAATGCCACCACGTGCAGACACAAATAGCGTGAACAAAAATTTTTGCTTTCAAGTCAAAGGACCAAGAAAGGGGTAGACAAGCAAGACAGAACAATTTTAGATAATAACAAGCACCACAGGAAAAAAAATAAAACATAATTTCATCCCCAACCATGTCTGCAAAGGCTAAGTGAGAATCCTAGACTTCAACTGTTACCCTGCTGTAATGAGGTGCTCCTGTCTTCCCCCAGGCTGGTGTCAGATAATGCTGAGTAGTGAAACAGACTTTTATCCCATCTGATAATAATGAGGCATCCCACTGTCTTGCCACTGGGGTTGTAGAAGAGAAGGCCCAGTGAAGAGTCAGGTCTTTTACCACCACACAGCAATAATGAGACCAACCCCCACCCAGGTGGTGTCAATGGAAGCCATGCAGGGAGCAATAACAAGACATTGCTATCTTTTCCATCCAGCAAGGAGTCATTGGAGTCTTTGTGGGGAGCTGGACTCCTACACTCACCTAGCAGTAATGAGGAGTGTCAACAGAGGTCAAATGGGGGAAACTAGACTTCTACTCCTTTGGACAGTAATGAGGCAGTGCCTCATCATCCCCTACCATGATTTATATCAAATTCCATCTTCAATTCTTTTTAGCTTTTAAAATTAGGAGTTTCAGTATGGTGTGTACCATATTCTTTAAGCAATGCTCTCTAAATTGGGGCATGTTCACCTTGGGGGATGTGCAATATGATTCATTGGCATGTATAATTAAAATGTTAAGACTTCTGTTAACATCTGGTTATTTCATTCTTTTAATTGTCTAGGGTCTACTGTTCATTTTTAAAGTAAATGATATATATACATACATAATAGTATATGTATATCATTAGTATGTAAAAACACATAGATTGAGGATGTGTGGTTGATTTTTTTAATGGCCGGATACATCCTGTTAATGTTTGGAGAAAAATGTTTTAAATCATTAGCATCTAAAATCCTTTCTGCCCATACAAATCCTTTCAGCCCACAAAAATGGGCTGATGTCTTGTTGTTTGGATAGGTATTTAGGAGAGTGAGAAAGACATGGCTAAAAGGGAGATTTAGAAGGTTGCAGGTGACAAATAGGGTTTTGCCTATGATTACTCTGATTGGACACAACGACATACTTAATGGCAGAGTTCCAACAGTAACTTTAATACATAATTATTTTAAGCGTTTAGGCATAAGTATAAGAGCAATAAGAGCCCTTAAGGTGGAATTCATCCAAAGTACCAGGAGTTGCCTACACACGAGAAGAGATGAAAGGGAGCAGGACATCACCAGGGTTTTCTGTAGCATCCCATCTGATGTCTTACAGGATATGATGCAGGCTATAAAAGTACTTCTAAAACTAAAAGTTGGATTAATTTGATCTATACATAATGTCTCTAAGACCTAAGGAAATCACACTTGAGTTACATGTAATCAGTGATATTAACACATCTAAAGAAAGAATGATTCAGAGAGAAAAGTGGATAGCCTAGAAAATTTCGATTCAGAAGGTGAAGATTTGCCAGATTATTTAGTGAGTACTGCTTCACTAAGGAAGACCCTATATTTTGAAAATAAAAGCAAACTTATTAATTTAACTTTCCAAAATTAAGTGTAGTGCCATCACTAACACCACCACTGACCACCATCACCCCCACCACCTTCTGCCCTGGATCTTCTATTTTATACTTACCAAACAACCTTCTGTTGAAAAAACAGCATGGGTTCCTACTATTTTTCTAATGAGAGCTCAAAGTTCTCTATCGTTACTCTCTGCCAGACACCGTTTGGGTGCTTTATATGCATTAGCTCATTTAATTCTTACAATATGCTTAAGTGGAAGCCATTATTAGTCCCATTGTACAAATGAAGGAGCTTGATCACAGAGAGACTAAGAAACTTGCTTATGACCAAACTGCTAGTAACAGAGCTGGGAGTCTCACTGGGAGAGTCACAATTCCAAGTCTGAATTCTTAATTACTTTGAAATGGGTATGGATATGAGACAAGGGAAGCAATGCAAGGGAGTGTTAGTACTTAATCATTGGAATAATGTGATGTCTGCTGTTCTGAATTAATGAATGCTCAATAAGGTATTATGGTCTGAAGTGCATAGATTGGTCTTGTGCAAAGTAAGTTCAAAGGACTACATCACAGAGACAGATCTGTCTGGGTTACTAAGAATGCCTGCACTTTAGACTTGTACTGAAGGGACTTTCACAAGGACTACTTACAAGTCCCTCCTGTATGAAAGCACCATTAGGACAGTCCTGCCAACCATTCAACCTCTATTATGGGACACTTCATTAGAAAAGATGATGCAAATATATCCTATAAATGTGTTTTCTATAGATTATTTGGGGGTTTTCAGAGACTTGAATATACTATCTTTTTCTATGTAAACTCATTTTTTGTTAATTCTAACTTTTGCTCCAAACAGTATTAACTGCTGCCTCTAAGAACTCAAGATTAGATCTTAAAATAATCAAGCTGTTAATAGGGTAATACTGTAAGGAATAATTGCAGGGTTTTTGTTTTGTTTTATTTGGCCCATCTGTAGCACTAAAACATATTTTAAAAAGTAAAGTTGAATATTTGATAAACTTCTGATTAGGCTGGGCCAGTTCTTTTCTTTGGAAAATCACTCCTGAGAGTTGGCTTGTGTCAATTCCTACGGGAAGAAACAGCTGGTAGCCTATTTTTTTCTTGGCAATTAAAAAAATAGCTTTCGAATTGTTGTAGTTTTGAAAGTAACATACTCTTTCTGTGCTCCCTTCTTTCTCCAAAATCTGTCTCAGGTGAACCCAAGATCATGGGTCGTGCAATGTTTTCTTACAGCTCTTCAGCTTCCTTCTGGCTGGAATTATTATCTGGAGGCTTGGGCTCATCAGCAGGCACATCCATTAAAACAACTAAAGCCGGACAATCAGGCCTAAATCCTCACTAGTCTTCCCCCAAACCCTGCAATACCATGTACCCATCTAGCTTTCCAACTGTTTCCCATTTCACATGCTTACCTAAAAGTTTCCATCTTGGGCATAGCTCAGTTCAGCCAGCTTTCCTTGGTACTTTCTCTTGCCTACCTATCTTTAATTATTTCTTTCCTCACTACTCTGGTAATTGACCTTTGCCATCCCATACTGGCTTTTAAAGTCAATCAGACCAAGGAAGATGGTCTTCCAGTTCTGGCAACTTTCACTAATTGCTTTTGGGCATTGAAATGACTGCTTTTCTGACTTAATGAAATAATTAATTTCCCACTGCCTTCCTTTACCCAACTTAGTAAATGCATCACAATTTAAAAAGAACAGAAGAATGGAAGGAAGGAAGAAGGAAAGAAGGAAGAAAGACACATAAAAAAATTGATACTGTATCAATAATTTGGCTGCTTTCCAAATATTTGTTTCTCTCTCTTCCCTACAGAATATAGCTAAATCCATTTACTAATGCTTATCAAAGGAAATACAAATAAATAAATATTTGTTTAGTTTTCTAGCCTTTATTTTTACTAATGGGTAATTGTAAGACCTAATATTTTTTTTTTTTTTTTAGAAATTTAAAAAAAAATTTGTGGGTACATAGTAGGTGTATATGTTTATGTGATAAATGAGAAGTGTTTCTATAGGCATGCAATGTGAAATAAGCACATAATAGAGAATGGGATATCTATACCCTCAAGCATTTATCCTTTGAGTTACAAACAATCCAATTACACTCTTTATTTTATGATATGCAATTAGTTATTATTGACTATAGTCATCCAATTGTGCTACTAGATAGTAGGTTTCATACATGTTTCTAGTATTTTTTACCCATTAACTATCCCCATCTTCCCCTGATCCCAGCCTCCTACTACACTTCCCGGCTTCTGGTAACCATCCTTCTACTCTCTATGTCCATGATTTCAATTGTTTTGATTTTTAGATCCCACAAATAAGTGAGAACACGCAATGTTTGTCTGTCTGTGCCTGGCTTATTTCACTTAACATAAAGATCCTCTGTTCTTTCATGTTGTTGCAAATAACTGAATCTTACCCTTTTTTATGGCTGAATGGTACTCCATATGGAGTACTATTATGGTAGTACTAATACTACCATAATAGTGGAACTGTGGACCAAAAAACTAAATAAAAATAGCATAAGAAGGGTGAGACCAAGTTTCACTTTGAAGGCATCACCCCTACATTTCTCCCAATCTAGAGTCTTCTTTAGTGGAGTAGTATTCCATATGGAGTACTATTATTGTACCATATGGTACATATATGCATATGGTACATATGGTACAATGTGTATATATACCGTATTTCATTTATCCGTACATCTGTTGATGGACACTTAGGTTGCTTCCAAATCTTAGCTATTGTAAACAGTGCTGAAACCAACATAAGAGGGCAGATATACTGATTTCCTTTGTTTTGAATATATACCCAGTAGTGGGATTGCTAGATCATATGGTAGCTCAGTTTTTAGCTTTTTTGTGGAACCTGCCTCCAAACTGTTCTCCCTAGTGTTTACACTAATTTACATTCCCACCAAGAGTGTACAAGGTTTCCCTTTTCTCCATATCCTTGCCAGAATTTGTTATTGCTTGTCTTTTGGATAAAAGCCTTTTAATTGGGGTGAGATGACACCTTGCTGTAGTCTTGATTTGCATTTCTCTGATAACCAATGATGTTGAGCACCCTTTCCATTTGTATGTCTTTTGAGAAATATGTATTCAAACCTTTGGCCCATTTTTTGACTTTTTCTTATGGAGTCATTTGAGCTCTTTATATGTTATGGTTATTAATCCTTGTCAGATGAATAGTTTGCAAATATTATCTCTCATTCTGTGGGTTGTCTCTTCACTTTGTTGGTTGTATCCTTTGCTGTGCAGAACTTTTTAACTTGATGTGATCCCACTTGTCCATTTTTGCTTTGTTTGCTTGTGTTTGTGGGGTATTGCTCAAGAAAGCTTTGCCCAGACCAATATCCTGGAGATTTTTCTCAATACTTTTCTGTAGTAGATTCATAGTTTGAGGTCTTATATATAAGTCTTTAATCCATTTTTATTTGATTTTTGTATATGGTGGTAGATAGAGATCTAGTTTCATTCTTTTGCATATGGAGATCTACCTTTAGCAGCATCATTTACTGAAAAGACCATCGTTTCCCCAGTATATATTTTTGGCTCCTTTGTCAAAATGAATTCACTGTATGTGTGTGGATTTGTTTCTGGGTTCTCTATTCTGTTCCATTTGTCTATGTGTCTGTTTTTATGCCAGTACCATTCTGTTTTGGTTACTATGTCTCTGTAGTATAATTTGAAGTCAGGTGATGTGATTCCTCCAGTTTTGCTATTTTTGCTTAGAATAGTTTTGGCTATTCTGGGTCTTCTTGGGATTGTTTTTCTATGTGAAAAATGTGAAGAATGTCATTGACATTTTGGTAGGGATTGCATTGAATCTGTACATTGTTTTGGGTAATATGAACATTTTAAAAATATGGATTCTTTCAATCCAGGAACATAAAATACTTTCTCCATTTTTTTTTGTTCTCTTCGATTTCTTTCATTGGTGCTTATGGTTTTTATTATAGATATATTTCACTTCTTTGTTTAAGTTAATTCCTAGGTTTTTAATTTTATGTATGGCTATTGTAAATTGGATTACTTAATTGTTTGTTTTTCACATTGTTCACTGTTGGTATATAGAAATACTACTGATTTTTGCACGTTGATTTTGTATCCTGCAACTTTACTAAATTTATTTATCAGTTTGAATAGTTTTCCTGTGGAGTCTTTAGGTTTTTCCAAATATAAGATGATATCATCTGCAAATAAGGATAATTTGACTTCTTCCTTTCCAACTCACATGCCCTTTATTTCTTTCTCTTGTCTGATTGCTCTAACTAGGACTTCTAGTACTATGTTGAATAACAGTGGTGATGGTAGGCATCCCTGCAATGTTTCTGATCTAAGAGGAAAGGGCTTCTATTTTTCCACACTTAATATGATACTTGCTGTAGGTGTGTCATATATGGCTTTTATTATGTTGAGGTATGTTCCTTCCATAGCCAGTTTTTTTGGGGGCTTTTTTCAGGAAGAGATGTTGAATTTTATCAAACGCTTTTTCAGCATCAATTGAAATGATCATATCATTGTTGTCCTTCATTCTGTTGATACGATGTAGCAAATAGATTGATTTACATATGTTGAACTGTCCTTACATCCCTGGGATAAATCCTACTTGGTAATGATGAATCATCTTTTTAATGTATTTTTGAATTTGGTTTGCTAGTATTTTGTTGAGCATGTTTCCTCATGAGAAATGTTGGCCTGTAATTTTCTTTTTTTGATGTGCCTTTGTCTGGTTTTTGGCATCAGGGTAATACTGACCTCATAGGATGAGTCTGGAAGTACGCTCTCCTCCTCGGTTTTTCAGAACATTGGATTAGGATTAGTGTTAATTTGTCTTTAAATGTTTGGTAGAATTCAGCAACAAAGCCATCAGGTCCCAGGCTTTTCTTTACTGGGAGACTTTTTATTATGACTTCAATCTCATTACTTGTTAGTGGTCTGTTCAGGTTTTGGATTTCTACCTGGTTCAATCTTGATAGGTTGTATATATCTAGGACTTTGTCCATTTCTTCTAGATTTCCCAATTTATTGGCATATAGTTGCTCATATTAGCCACTAATGATTTTTTGAATTTCTGCAGTATCGGTGGTAATGTTTCCTTTTTCAACTCTGGTTTTATTTATTTGGGTCCTCTCCCTTTTTTTTCTTCATCAGTCTGGCTAAAGATTTGTCAATTTTATCTTTACAAAAAGCCAACCTTTTGTTTTGTTGACGTTTGTATTGTCTTCCTCATTTCAAATTATTTTATTTCTACTCTGATTCTTATTTTTCCTTCTACTAATTTTGAGTAGTTTTCTATTGCTTTTCTAATTTTTAAGATGTGTCATTAAGTTATTTGTTTGAAATTTTTTTCTCTTTTTTGATGCAGGCATTTACAGCCATAAACATCCCTCTTAGTGCTGCTTTCACTCTATTCCATAGGTTTTTCTATGTTGTGTTTCCATTATTATCTGTTTTGATAATTTTTTCAATTTCCTTCTTGATTTCTTCATTGACACATTGGTCATTCAGGAACATACTGTTTAATTTTCATGCATTTGTATAGATTCCAGAATTTCTCTTTTTATTAATTGCTAATTTTATTTTACTGTGGTCAGAAAAGATGCTTGATATTATTTTATTTTTGAATGTTTTAAGACTTATTTTATGAACTAAAATATGATCTATCCTTGAGAATGATCCAAGTGCTGAAAAAAAGAATATGTATTCTTAAGTTCTTGGATGAAATGTTCTGTAAATATGTATTAGATCCATTTAGTCTATAGTGCAGATTAAATCTGATCTTTCTTTTTTGATTTTCTATCTAGAAGATTTGTCAGATGCTAAAAGTAGAGTGTTGAAGTTTCTAGCTATTATTGTATTGGGGCCTAACTGTTTAGTTCTTATGATACTTCCTTCATATATCTGGGTGCTCTAGTGTTGCATAAATGTATATTTAAAATATTATATCCTCTTACTGAATTGATCCCGTTTATTATATAGTGACCTTTTGTCTCTTCTTATAGTTTTTGTCTTGAAATCTATTTTGTCTCATATAAGTATAATGACTCCTGATCTTTATTAGCTTCCATTGGCAGGGAATATCTTTTTTCCATCCCTTTATTTTCAGTCTGTGTGTGTCTTTAGAGGCAAAGTGTGTTTCTTGTAGGCAACAGATCAATGGGTCTTGTTTTTCCATCCATTCATCCAGTCTATGTAATTTGGTTGAAGAATTTAATTTTCATTCAATGTTATTATTGAATATTATTATTGAATGTTATTCTAGGAATAAGTAAGAACTTAACGCCTGCCATTTTGTTATTTGTTTTCTGGTAGTTTAACGGTCTTGTCTTTCTTCCTTTTTTCCTTCCTGTCTTCCTCTAGTGAAGGTGATTTTATCTGGTGATATGATTTAGCTTTTGATTTTTATTTTTTATGTATCCATGGTATGTTTCTTAGTTTGAGGTTACCATAAGACTTGCAAATAGTGTCTTATAATCCGTTATTTTAACCTGATGGCAGCTTAACACTATTTGCTTAAAAAAACAAACAAAAAGAAAACTAAAAAAACTCCATGCATTAACTTTGTCCCTCCCTTTTAAACCTTCTGCAGTTTATATTTTATTGTACTATGTCTTGAAAAGTTGTTATACTTATTTTTTATTGGTTCATCATTTCATCTTTCTACTTAGGATAAAGGTAGTTTATATACCACAGTTACAGTGTTATAATATTCTGTGTTTTTCTCTGTACTTACTATTACCAGTAAATTTTGTATCTTCAGGTGATTATTTATTGCTCATTTATGTTCCTTTCTTTCTGGTTGAAGTACTGTCTTTAGCATTTCTTATAGGACAAGTCTGGTATTGATAAAATCCCTCAGCTTTTTTTTTATTTCTCTATGTTTGAAGGATAGTTTTGCTAGATATACTATTCTAGGGCAGGCTTTTTTTCCTTCAGCATTTTAAATATGTCATGCCACTCTCTCCTGGTCTGTAAGGTTTCCACTGAAAAATCTGCTGCTAGATGCATTGGTGCTCCATTGTATGCTATTTATTTCTTTTATCTTACTGCTTTTAGAATCCTTTCTTTATCCTTGCACTGCGGGAGTTTGATTATTAAATGTCTTGAGAATGTCTTCTTTGTATTAAATCTGCTTGGTGTTCTATAACCTTGTTGTACTTGGATACTGATATCTTTCTCTAGGTTTAGGAAGTTTTCTGTTATTATCCCTTTGAATAAAGTTTCTACTCCTATCTCTTTCTCTACCTTCTCTTTAAGGCCAATAACTCTTGGATTGGCCCTTTTGAGGCTGTTTTCTAGATCTCATAGGCATGCTTCATTGTTTTTTATTCTTTTTTGTTTTGTCTCCTCTGAATGTGTTTTTTTAAATAGCCTGCCTTCAAGTTCACTAATTCATTCTTCTGCTTGATTCATTCTTTTATTAAAGGACTCTGATGCATTCTTCAGTATGCTCATTGCATTTTTCAGCTCAAGAATTTCTGCCTGATTCTTTTATTATTTCAATCTCTGTTAAATTTATCTGACATAATTCTGAATTCCTTCTCCTGAATTTCTTTGAGTTTTCTCAACACAGCCATTTTGAGTTCTCTGTCTGAAAGGTCACATGTCTCTGTTTCTTCAGGATTCGTTTCTGGGGCCTTATTTAGTTCATTTTC
Source organism: Homo sapiens (assembly GCF_000001405.40). NCBI lineage: Eukaryota > Metazoa > Chordata > Mammalia > Primates > Hominidae > Homo > Homo sapiens. The sequence continues at coordinate 89,696,219 of NC_000007.14, read as the reverse complement.
TGAGGTCATGTTTTCCTGGGTGGTGTTGATGCTAGTAGATGTTCATCAGTATCTGGGCATTGAAGAGTTAGGTATTTATTGTAGTCTTCACTGGCTGGGCTTGTTCGTAGCCATCCTTCTTGGGAAAGCTTTACAGATGTTTGAAAGGACTTAGGTGTTGTGATCTTAGCTGTATCTGCTTTAGGAGCACCCCAAACCCAATATCTCGGTGATTCTTGCAGACTAGTAGAGGTACTGCCTTCATGGTTTTGGGCAAGATCTGGGAGAATTCTCTGGATTACCAGGTAGAGACTCTTATTCTCTTTCCTTACTTTTTCCTAAACATACAGAGTCAGTCTCTCTCTCTCTCTCTCTCTCTCTCTCTCTCTCTTCTGTTCTGAGTCACCTAAACCTAGGGATGAAGTGACATAAGCACCCCTGTGGCCACTACCACTATGGCTGCGCTGGTCAGATCTTAAGCCAGCACAGTGCTAGGTCTTGCCCAAGGCCTGCCGTAACTACTCCCTGGCTACTGCCTACATTCACTCAAGGTCCTGGGGCTCTACAATCAGCAGATGTCAAAGCCAGCCAGGCCTGTGTCCTTTTTTTTAGAGCAGTGTGGTTCCGAAGGCCCTGGGTGGGCTCAGAAGTGCCATATGGGAGTCAGGAACTAGATATAAAAAACCTTAGAAGTCCACTTGGTGTTCTGTTTTACTACAGCTGAGCTGTCACTCAAACCACAAGATGCAATCCTTACCACTCTTGCCTCCTCCTTCCAAAAGCAAAGAGGTTTTTGGAAAAAAGCCTCACCGCATAGCCACTGCCACCCCAGGCCATGAGGAGTACTACCACCAATGCTCACATAAGGCCCAAGGTCTCTTAAGTAAGCTTCTCATGAATTCTGCTGCCTGGCCTGAGACTTACTCTTCAGGGCATTGGGCACCCCTCTGACCTAGGGCTGGTTCAGCAATGCCATCTAAGTGTCAAGTCCTGGAATCAGGGAACCCAAGAACCCACTTGGTGCTCTATTCCCTGTGACCATGCTAGTACCTAAGGTGTTAACACAAAGTCGTCTTCACTTTTCTCTCTGCTTTTCTCAAGCAGAAGCAGTTTTGCCCCATAGCTACCATAGCTGTTTATGTGCTGAGTCTCACCTTAAGTCAGCTAGTCTCAGAGGCTCACCTAAGGCTCTCAGTGTAGTATCTGGGTATCACTGCTGGCTATTCATGACCCAAGGGTTCTTTGGTTAGCAGGTGATGTATGCTGCCAGGACTGGGTCTGTTCTTCCAAGGCAGTGGGTTCCCTTCTGGCCCAAGATGTGTCTAGAAATGTCATCTGAAAACTAGGGCCTGGAACGGGAGCCTCATTACTTTGACCATTCCTTATCATGCTGTGGCTGAGCTGGTATCCTAAATGCAAGACAGAGTCCTCCCCACTCTTCCCCCTCCTCTCCTCTCCCTAAGCAAAAGGAAGGGGTCTCTTTTGAAGCCTTAATCTGTGCAGTCTGGGGTTATCAGCATGGTGATACAAGCACTCCCTTGGCTGCTACAGCTGGTGTCTAAATATGTCATGTCCCCCCATGGACCCAAAGTCCACTGTCTCTAGGCCTAGTGTAGCACTAGGACTCACCTAAAATTTTCAGTCATTATGGCCAAAGATTGCCTTTCAAGTTTACTCAGAGACACAGAATGCTGTAGCCCTTGATGGTAAGGTTTGTAGGCACTCAAGTTTGGACTCTGTGGCTAGTGCTCTCTCGATTAAATGTTGTCTCCATGGGCAGGGGTCAGCTGAGTTTGATCCAGTTTTCCTTTCTGTTCTAACAGGACAGCACTGAATTCAATGACTCATAATTGCTGTGTTCTCTCTCCCACAGTGCCCAGAGATGCTCTCCGCACCAAGCCACAGATGTGGAGGAGGCAGGTAGGGGGTCAAAGAGGGGTGGTATCGGTTATTCAGGACTTTTTTTTTTTTTCTTAAATATCCTGTGCTTCTTTCAATCATTTGAAGGTAAAACCAGGTCCTGTGAGTGGTAAACTGATTTTTGGTTCTTATGAAGGTATTATTTTCTGTGTAGATAGTTGTTAACTTGGTGTCCTTGCAGGGTAGACGATCAGCGAAGCTTTCTGTTCCACCATCTTGCTCCTCTCATTTTAGACCTAATATATTGACTATAAGTGTTTCCCTCTGGAAGTATTGACTATATCTGCATCAATACTAAGAAAATAAAATATAATCATAGAGACTGAAACATATTAATATATATATAATGGGTGTTAAACTAATGGTAATTGAAATAAATGATAAGTCTTAATGTTAGAGGGTTAGACTGACCCTAATTTATAATCTGCTATTTGGTTCTTGCTGTTGGGTCATTATTTCATATTACCATGTAGGACTAAAGGTAGAATAGTATGGTTATGCAATGTCACTATTTCAAGAAGCTTGAGGCAGTTTTAGAATAATATAAGCTTCATCATTATACCTTTTACCTGAAATTGGATAGAAATAATCTTATTTTCTTTTTGTAGAAATGAGGAAATGAAAACAGAAATTTTCTGTGAGTACACAAAATCTAAATACCAGTGTTAGAAATGTCCGTTCTTTAGAATGTATTTCTCACCATTAAAAACTGCCATGAATTGAAAATCCAAATGCGGCAAGGAGAAACACTTTTGGCGAGAAAAATTTTATTAAGCTATTTTTGATAGCAAATGCATAGGAGACAAGTTCATAGGAATTACATGAATCAAAGGTAAAGTTGCTGAAGGATTGTCTACTTTGAAACTTAAACTCTGAGACTCACTGAAACATAAAGTAAGTCTTCAAAGTTTGCTCCCTTCCCTTGTATCCTGGTGACTTTTCAGGGACTTCTAAAGGTGATATTCAGTCAAGAATTATCTCAGAGCAGCAATCTTACCCCGAAAATTATGATCTCCCATTCTTTCCCTTAAATAGAGCACAAATCCTTATTTATTCCAAATGTAGGTACTGAGGGCTAGCAGTCCCATGGGAAATTTTCTGATAAATTTATGTTGAGTCTATTTCCTAAATATGTATGTTGTTTTATAAGGAATAAATTCTTAACACAAATGATTTGCTATCTAATGCTGAAATGTCAGACATCTGTAGCAGATTGATAGGAGGAAAATTAGGGATATGAGAGTAAAGATTTTAAACTAAAACAACTAAATATAACCCAGGTAATAAACATATTTAATCACCTATAAAAGTTGCATTCTTTTTTCTTGCTTTTTAAGTTTTTTGTGTACTAATTATACCTCAAAACTGAAAGTAAGAATCCCCACAAATTACCTCACTAGGCTTACTATGCATGCTTCCTAAACTCTGACCAGTTGAAATTTTATACTGTGGTTCTAGAAAATGTAGAAATATTCTGCTAAGGGCTAGAACAAATTATATTAGTAACTCCAAATGAATCAGGTTTCTCATTATAGGTTCTTTCTATAATCACTATGGGTTTGGTCATGTGACTTGATTTGTCTAATGGGTCATCTGCACATATGAACACAAGCAGAGGCTTGTGCTGGTACATCGCGGTTTTCTTCTTGAAGCCCAGGATGCCCAAGATAGTCTGCTGGATAGGCTAGGTGGAGGAAAATGAAGGCACCTTATGAGTGCCAGGCAACTACCAGCCACAAAGTGTGTGGCCATCTGGGACCAGCCAGGCTCCAGCTGCCCTGCCAGTTAACTGCAACTAGATGAGTGAGTCAAGTCAGCATAACATGGAGCAAAGACAAGCCATCCCAGCTAAGCTCTGTCTAAATTATCAACCCAAACAACTGTAATAAGATAAATAATGCTTATTTCAAGCCACGAAGTTTTGGAGTTGTTTATTTCAAAACACTAGATAACCAAGCAGTGTCTGCTAGAAATTGCATTTGTAATTTTCCCAAAACTGGGTGTTTTTTTGTCATTATTCACACAATTATGTTGGATAAATTATCGTCTTTGAGACTCAATTGTCTAGTCAGTACAATAGGAATAATGTAAATATTTTTATATTTAATTTTTTTTAATTACAGAGGTTATTGAGTTTGTGTTTTTCAGCTGCAGAGAGAGAAATTTGTGGGGATAAAGTCACAAGAATACCAGTTGGCAGAAATTGAATTACCTTCCTTTGTATAAGTAATATCCAGTCTAGTCTTAAATGCTATAGGATGAGATAAGAGAAGGATAGCTCACATTCCAAAATAAAAGCAAAAATATAAAATATTGAGAATTGAATTTGACAACATGCGAACAAAACTGAAAATAGAAAAATATAAACCTTTATTAGAGGACATAAAAGAAGCCTGGAATAAGTGGAGAGACAGGTCAGTTTTCTAGAAAGACATGATATTGTTAAGCTGCTGATTATGTTCAAATTCATACATTTAATTTCAGTCAAAATTCTATTTTTCCTTTGTTTGAATCTGAAAGGCTGATACTGTAGGCCATTTAAAAGAATAATATATGGGCTGGGCACTATGGCTCACACCTGTAATCCCAGCACTTTGGGAGGCCAGGGAGGGCAGATCATGGGGTCAAGAGATTGAGACCATCCTGGCCAACATAGTGAAACCCCGTCTCTACTAAGAATACAAAAATTAGCTGGGTGCAGTGGCAGGTGCCTAAGGTCCCAGCTGCTCAGGAGGCTGAGGCAGGAGAATAGCTTGAACCTGGGAGGCGGAGGTTGCAGTGATCCGAGATCACACCATTGCACTCCTGCCTGGCGACAGAACGAGACTCCGTCTCAAAAAAAAAAAAAAAAAAAAAAAAAAAAAATGGCTAAGAACTGTGGCTAGCAAATAGAACAAAAGCACTGTGGAAAATATAAAAATATTGGAGGAACACACTGTGAAACTATTGTAAATGAAATAGTATAGTTCTGGCATGCCCTCTCTTAGATAACATTTTTGCTTTCTAGTTCATTTATAAAATTGAAGTCATTAAAAGGAAATTTCCATATGATCTTACCACTAAGCATGTCAGCCTGCCTATATCAGACCAGATTCTTTGTCTCCTCTTCCATTACTGTTGAGAAACAGTTCATGTTTTTATATCATACGAACCTCTACTTTACAGTGAATCCCATCCCTTTTTGCCTCTTCAAAGACTTTGCTTTAACAATTCTTTTTTCTCCCTTGTAGCATCAGTTTTTCCTGCTCCACTGGATTATCCATCAGTATACAATCGTGCTGTCATTTTGCCTTAAAAAAGAAGCAAATAAAAACTTTCTTGACCCTTATTCTCCTCCAGTTTCTACCCTGTTTCTCCTTCCTCTTTACAGCAAAACAAAAAAGAATTACAGAAAATTTTAAAGAAATACTTTAAATAATTCTTTTAAAAAATTCTGTAATCACTGATTCCATTTCTTTTTCTCTCTGGAAATCACTCCAGTTTTTGGCACCTACCACTCAATCAAAATAGCTATTGTTATTTGGGAGGCCGAGGCAGGAGGATCACGAGGTCAGGAGTTCAAGACCAGCCTGGCTATCATGGTGAAACCCCATCTCTACTAAAAATAATAATAATAAAAAAATAGCCAGGTGTGGTGGAAGGCCCAGCTACTTGGGAGGCTGAGGCAGGAAAATCGCTTGAAACTGGAAAGTGGATGTTGCAGTGAGCTGAGATCGCACCTTTGCACTCCAGCCTAGGCGAAAGAGCGAAACTCTGTCTCTCTCACACACACACACACACACACACACACAGAGACACACAACAATAGCTCTTGTTAAACACATAAAGAACTCTACTGCAAGAGACAATAATCAATTCTTGGCCTTAATTTTACTCCGTGTATAAGCATTCTTTAACACCGATGATTGCTACAACTTAAAAAAATTAATGCTTTCATTTTAAAATTAAAAAAAATTTAAAAACTTTTACGTTTTTGAAATATACTCTTCATTTGGATTTTAAGAAACCATGTTGTCTTCACAGTCTTCATCCAGTTTTTTAAAAACAATATCTGTACACTTATGTATAAATATAAACAATATCTATACATTTATGAATCGCTAGGCATATCTCCAGCCCAACATATAATTCAAACTTCAAACTTACCCACTTCTCCATCTACTCAGTGTACCCACTCGGATGTCTAACAGATCTCTCAAATTTAACAAGCTCAAAACCTAAGCTCCTGAAACTTGATATCTAAAACACATATCTCCCACTGTCCCCCATCTAAACAAACAGTAATCGCATTCTTCTAATTGCTTAGATAAAAAATCATGATATCATTCTGTTTTTTATTCCCATATCAGCAAATCTTGTTAGTTTTATTTTGAAAACATTTGTAGACATGGCCTCCAACTCTATTACTCTCATTCAACTCACCATTGTTTCTCTCCTGGATTATTGCAAATAACCTCTTAACCATTCTTCCATTTTATGCTTTCCACAGAGGCAAAGTAAACCACAGCTAAATTGAAATATGCACACTGAAGAACTTATCTAATAATCTATATGGCTCTTTTTTTTTTTGAGGCAGTTAGGAACAGTGAAAAAAGCACCGATCTTGCAATCAGCAAGAATAAATTCAAATTCAGATTCTGCTATTTACTGTCAGCGTGACTGTGGGTAAATCATGAAAATTTTTAGTCACTGTTCTTTTATGAAATATAGATACCGTTTGCTCTCTGTATCTCACAGAGATTTTGAGAGGATTAAACAAATACAAAACCACACTGTTATATGTGAAATGTGTGAACTGCTGCCCAAATAAGAAGTGATAATGATTACAATAATAATACATTTCTGAGAATATAATTACTATGACAACTGGATTAATGAATATATCCTTACTTTTTCCTCAAATGTCATTAAATATGAACAATAATTTCAGATTAATAAAAACCATGATATAATAACCACTTCATATAATTTACTGCACAAAACGAATGGAGGAAGGGAGAAAAGAGTATAGTACATCCACTTTAGATAGGTTTGTAAAGATTTATTGGGCCTAGAAAGCAATCTGTAGTTTAGTAAATTGGCATTTGAGGGGGTGTCACAAATAATAATGTGTTACATCTTGCACTACAATGCACAGGTGTCCAAAGGCTATTACAATCCAAGCATTGCACTAAAATTGTATGAATGTAATAGCATGGCCACTATGAGAATGGTACTCAGAAAAGAGCTTTTTAAAAAATCTATTTAGTACAATCACTGCTACCTTTAGTCCAATAAAGCCACAGCAACTCAAGAAATTAAATTTTCTGCTCCCCGTTCAGCCACTACTTCTTTAAATACTAAGTGTAGGATAAAATAATTGTATGTCAGAAGGGTGTCTGCAACTTTGCACTTATTAATTTAAACCATGTATGAGGGATTGTTGAAACCTGCCTGAAGATCTAGAGGATACTGGGCCTCTCCAAATTAGTCCAAATTAGGCTGTTTTTAGAATGAGTTAAATGAGCCATTTCCAGTATGAATTTTGTATGAAATATCATTTTAGAATACTTTGTTTGGAATATCCTTTAGGTTGCATGCACAGACATGGGGTATTTAATGCATATTTTTTGGTAGACTGTGTTCTTTATCAGTTTTAGAGTAATATTTTTATTATGTTCAGCTAATTAATTAGTTAAAACTTCCCACAAACACAGGTTCAGTTCTGAATACAAAGGAAATAAGAAAGCTGTGATGTGATGTTTTCTATGCTATACTCAATTATTTTAGCATCAAAATTCTATCTTATAAAAGAGATATTTTATAAGTTTAAAAATGTTCAGCTATTTGAATAGATAATTTCTTTTATGGGCAGAAATTAAGGGACTGACCTAAAATGCATTCAGTATGAAAAAAAGGCATCATAATTGTCATTCTTATAAAGGATTTTTGTTTTTATAGCAATTTCAATATCTGCTGGGAATTATGCTAGGTGTTGGAGCCACCTGTTCAGAAAATATATATTTAGAAATACAACCTCTTTGTAAGATCTCCAGACTCTATGTCCCTTCGCTACTTTTTCTGAACTTTCTCTTCTCTTCATGCACACTTTTAAAGTCATGCTTAATTTGAATTCTGTTTCAAGGTGACTCTCTTTAATGTGAGGGTACAATCCAAAGGGAATTTTCAGGTGGTCAGTTTTGAATACTCAAGGCATTGTGATGGCTCCAGCCCCTTTAGATATTCAAAGGGACCCCTTGTAATTGTTCTTTTATTTCTGAAAACATTTAAGTTTTACTCCAGTTTTATTGAAGTATAATTGACAAATAAAAGTTGTATATATTTATACAGCATGACCATTTGATATACATACACACAGTGAAGTGATTACCACGAGCTGACTATAGTTAACAATCCTGTATATATACTTGAAATTTGCTAATAGAGTAAATCTTAAGCGTCTTCACTTTACAATTACTCTTGAGCTGGAATATCCACTGAGGTTCTCAGCCTGACTCACTGTATTCTTTACTGAGCACTACCTGTTAGTTGGGGTCTTTGGCCTCTGGTTTTTCCCGCATTGCTACAGATATCACCCAGGTCCTTTAATAATCACGGTTTGTCTACACCTGCTCATATTTGGGGTTGTGGGGTTATGGCTACACTTTCACCCTTTTCTCTTGTTAATATTGTCTGTGGGCTTTGGTTTTAAAATTCTAGTCCCTTTCTCTCTTTTGGAGGGGATTTAGGGAGATTCAAAAACTCTGCCACCATTGCCATCTTCCTGTAATTCAAAACATGTATTGTTGAACTTGCCTGGACAAGTAGTGAATCTCTGGGGATGAAATGAAGCTAAGATTTATACTCATGCCAGAAGTTATAACTAACAGCACAGCTGGTCTGTGCACAGGACTGGAAACTGTGAATCTGGCAGTTGTTTATCAATATCGGAATGTTTTTATTCTTGGAAAGCTTTCTTTCAGGCTGTTCCATCTACACTCACTAGCGCTCCATGAATATGTATATATCCATATAGATTGCAGACAAAAAACTCACAGTATACTATTTCAGAAGTGAGAACAAAAAAGGGATGCTATGTTACCACCTGTGTCTAATTAAATATTTGTGGTAATTTAATGTAATTAAAAATTAAACAACCATTTGGCACAGGGTAATATATCATATTTCCTCCTCAGTTATGTACTTCAGTGTGCTCTCTGGTTGACTGTTTTAACTTAGATTTAATGTTAACAGCTTTTACTATTGTTTGTTCTAGTTTGTTGAATTTTACATTTAATATTCCCTTTGTTTGTGTTTCTCTTGCCTCTACTCTTCATTCAATTAATTCTCAGATCTTAGCTTGAATGTTATTTTCTCAAAAAGGCCTTTCCTGGTAACTACAGTGTCCAGCTCTAGCTAAATTCAGGTTTTCCTCTTATTCTTTGTAATAATACTTAGTTATTTTGTGACCTCCAGGAAATATCAATGTTTGAATAAATGAACAGTGAAGCACAGTCTCCTTATCATTTTGATTTTATTAACTGTGTAATTTTTAAAAATAAGGTAACTCAACCATTTCTAAAGAAGGTATTAAAAGTCACGTAACACAGAGCTTCAACCACTTCTTCAGTGGTACTATATGACCCAACTGATTAATTTGTAATTAGAAATCATGGTCTATATTTTTTCTTTTAAAGGCTAAGAGCATTTGTCAAGTAACCTTTGATATTATCATTATTATTATTATTTTCCCAGTTGCTCTACTACCATGTTAGGAACCATACCCCACAAATAGTTACAATTAAATAACCTCACTCCATTCTTGGTTTACTTAGGGTTGAGTAACTAAACTAAGTATGGGCAGTCAGAATTTCCTTGCAGGCACATGGAATCATAATGAAGTATAGCTGGTCTTTTCAACAGAGGAGCTATAAACCCCAAAGATATAGTCAGCTTTGTTCTGTCTATCACATGGACGTGTAGTAAGGAAAAGTGGTATTCTATGAGCTAGAATTTTGACGCAGTCTTAAGGAAAGGCAGACATGAGAGACAGGAAGGTGCTGTTGGGATTTGTGTTCCTGGTTACAGTTTCTTTTCGAGGTCTGACTAAATCTGGATTCTTCGGCTTCTGGATTCTTTGGATTTATAAGACAATTTTGCATTCTAAAAATATTTTCTTTCTTTTTCTACAAGCTAATTTAGTGGGTTTTTGCAAATTGCAACCTGCACAGACCTAATAAAACACTAATTATTAGGTAGTGATGAGCACACTACAAAACCTTTAAGGGTTTTAAACTCATGTAGCTCCCAGTTGAGGAAATAAGCAGTCATTGTGATAAGAGAAAAAGTTTTGTACTCCACACAGCACTTGATTATGTTATATAGGATGTGCATACCTATTCAGAATCTGCTGCTCATTGAGCAATTAATATCAGGAACGAACTTGAGATTTATCTAAGCTATTTAACTATGCCTTCAACATCTTCCAGATGTGTTATTAAGAAAAAAAAATAGCCCAGCTAAGTTTCTCAATAATGGCTGCAGAGCTCTTTGGAAGCAGTGGCATTGATACAAGTGAGAATATCTGGGGCCCGTCTTTAAATAATTAATGCAGTTGTTTAACTTCCTTCTGGCCTATCACAGAAATGGGGGTATCAGAAAAGGTTTGAATCTAAATATCAAATAGTTATCTCTGCCTCTGGCCATAGAAACCAGCTGGGGTAAGAGAGAAACCTAACTTTATGCAGCTTCAAGGAGCTCTTTTGCTCTTGCTATTATCACAGAAACTCCCTGTGGATGTTTTCTCAAGCCAAGGCCACTGATAGAAAATTTGAGTCTGACTCTGTTATTGATTCTTGCTCCAGTACTTCCAGTTTTTCATACCACATGTCTGGAACATGCCATATCTCAAATACAGGAAAACTTGTAAAACATCTGGTAGTTCATGAAACAAAGGAACAACTTTAATGGTCAACTATTGGTGGTATCAGATTGAGAAATAAAGAGAAAGATTAGCACTGTAATAGGTCATCACTGCTCAGATCAGTCAGAGCAGGCAAACAGTATGGTACATGATTTTCCCTCCCAACTGCCAAAAAATGATTGAGGAAAAGGTGCCAAATGATTACGTTTTTTCAATATAACTTGCACCTGTATCTTTTTTCTGACCCAGAGCAGTTCTCAACTCATCAAGACTAAACCACTACTCTTCATCTGAATTGTTTAATAATGTAAGCAATATCTTCTTTTACTCCTTTTGCATGCATGTGCTATTATGACATTATTACTAAATGAAAATAAGGAAAATACTCAGGTTGATAAACTCATCAGTGGACTAATTGCAAACAGCTAATTACTATTTAAATCAGGGCTAACAAGCCTCATATAGAAAGCCTTTATTTAAATAAGAAATATCTCCCTTTTCTGGAAATGAGATTTTCCTTTAAAGGCGTTGTTTGTAACCTTCATTAGCATTCAATGTTTATATAGCATGGCATTCAGCATACTGTTGGAGTGTAAGGGAACTATGTCATAATGAAATGTCATTTTGTCCTAAAAGTCTTGCACATTTAAATCTGTGGAAGTAAGGAAGCTTATATCATCAAAATATCCCCTACTCTTGACAATTAAATGTTTTTATTGATTTTTACAAGTAAGCCAAAGTCAGCATTTTATCATAACTTCTTATGGATTTTCCTCTGTCCATGAAAATAAAGAAAATAAAGTTATATTAACTCTTAGTCTGAGTTTTAGATTTTTTTTAACTTTGGTGAAATTTGTATTATAATGTTGTTAGATTTCTTGACAGTCACTAATTTTAATCCCTTTTAAATACATTGTTACTGTTTTTTAACTTAAGTGTCAGCTTTTAGGGCAAGATGAGAATTATGTCATCCATGGAACTGGAAAACCTTGTTTTTAGGATTCATTGTTTCAGCGTTAGAGGCAGAGGTCACCATAATAACCATGGTGTTTAACATACAAAGGGCAATTGCATTCTATAAAATCTATTCCATCGGCTCAACTGCTTTTAAATTATTTGATTCTGAGAAGTTAACTCTCCTGAGCTTTTGGCTATTATGGAAAACCTATCACTCAAAGGATATAAGGAGAAAATAGAGTAATTCATATAAAAGAGTTTTATAAATTATCTAAAGCTAATCAAAGGCCACAGGCTATTGTCATTTCCAAACCAGAAGCAATTACAAGCTAATTTAACTTGAATCTGGTGTTTTTATTTCTTTGACATAGCTAGAGCAGGACTCAGTTCGAGTTGTGTTCCTAAACTATCAGATTGAGAAATAAAGGGAAAGATTAGCACGGTAATAGGTCATTACTGCTCAGATCAGTCAGAGCAGGCTAACAGTATGGTACAAGATTTTCCCTCCCAACTGCCAAAAAGTGATGAGGAAAAGGTGCCAAATGATTACGTTTTTTCAATATAATTTGCACCCATAGAATTATGAGCCTTTTATATAACAAATCCTTTACATTACTGTTGGTTTTATAACTAATTAGGTTATTGAAGTTATCATAGAAACAGTTTAATTTTTAAAATTTACTGATTATAGATAATGATAAGGAAACAGCATTGCTTGTAAATGCTTTAAGGGGGAAATAAGAAAAAAAGTCATGTATTTCTCCTTTTTTCCTTTAAGACTCTTTGAATTTCATAAAGAAATTCTGGAATTGAAAGAAAAAGGTGAATATTATTCAAGTGTGTAAAGTTTAATTGTAAAGCTTAGTCACAACTACTTACACTTAACACACATATATGAGATTTTCATACTTGTGTTTATACATTAAATATTTTGGATAAGATGCTGCAAATTAAGTGGACTTTTTTTTCATTTTCAACTTGTTTCTATTTATTTATTTATTTTTTATTATTATTATACTTTAAGTTTTAGGGTACATGTGCACAATGTGCAGGTTTGTTACATATGTATACATGTGCCATGCTGGGGTACTGCACCCATTAACTTGTCATTTAGCATTAGGTATATCTCCTAATGCTATATCTCCCCCCTCCCCCCACCCCACGACAGTCCCCAGAGTGTGATGTTCCCCTTCCTGTGTCCATGTGTTCTCATTGTTCAATTCCCATCTACGAGTGAGAACATGTGGTGTTTGGTTTTTTGTCCTTGTGATAGTTTCCTGAGAATGATGATTTCCAATTTCATCTGTGCCCCTACAAAGGACATGAACTCATCATTTTTTATGGCTGCATAGTATTCCATGGTGTATATGTGCCACATTTTCTTAATCCAGTCTATCATTGTTGGACATTTGGGTTGGTTCCAAGTCTTTGCTATTGTGAATAGTGCCGCAATAAACATACGTGTGCATGTGTCTTTATAGCAGCATGATTTATAGTCCTTTGGGTATATACCCAGTAATGGGATGGCTGGGCCAAATGGTATTTCTAGTTCTAGATCCCTGAGGAATCGCCACACTGACTTCCACAATGGTTGAACTAGTTTACAGTCCCACCAACAGTGTAAAAGTGTTCCTATTTCTCCACATCCTCTCCAGCACCTGTTGTTTCCTGACTTTTTAATGATTGCCATTCCAACTGGTGTGAGATGGTATCCTACTGTGGTTTTGATTTGCATTTCTCTGATGACCAGTGATGATGAGGATATTTTCATGTGTCTGTTGGCTGCATGAATGTCTTCTTTTGAAAAGTGTCTGTTCATATTCTTTGCCCACTTTTTGATGGGGTTGTTTGTTTTTTTCTTGTAAATTTGTTTGAGTTCATTGTAGATTCTGGATATTAGCCCTTTGTCAGATAAGTAGGTTGCAAAAATTTTCTCCCATTTTGTAGGTTGCCTGTTCACTCGATGGTAGTTTCTTTTGCTGTGCAGAAGCTCTTTAGTTTAGTTAGATCCCATTTGTCAATTTTGGCTTTTGTTGCCATTGCTTTTGGTGTTTTAGACATGAAGTCCTTGCCCATGCCTATGTCCTGAATGGTGATGTCTAGGTTTTCTTCTAGAGTTTTTATGAAAGTGGACTTTATATATGAAATTTAATAGACAAAATGAAGAGAATATGATGTCACCCTAGAGATGTTATTTGATTGGCAATGCAATTGGCGTAAAATAATATCGTTTTTGGTTTATAACAATTATTTTTAATATTTCTGTTCCTTAATTTGTTTTCACTTTTGATCTTAACTTCTTTTTGATGACCTTCAAGGCTTTGGTACTATAACAAAATGAAGAAATTAACTCTTGAATATGAACAAAGAGGTTGTAATGAAAATAAAATCCCTAATTTTTATAAAGTTAAGTATGGCACATGACACTATGAAATCTTAGATAGAGTTTATTACCTAATAATTCAATTCTAAGTGCCTGTTTTAGCTCATAAACTCTCAGGGCACCATGGGAAAGGAACAACCAGTCATGTGCAGTTTCTCATGGCTGCTCTGTTATACATGTGTACAATGTCCCTGTTTGAACCTGCTACCCTCTCTCAAAACTGGCATTCTTTTCCATCTGGCACCATTAGGTCAGACCTTAAGGAGTTAAGAAGGCAGGAGCAGTTGTTTGGTTTTGGCACAGATTAGGATCAGACATAATCTGGACCTACTTCAGGGACTATCCTATCCCATGTTTGTGTCTCAAGGGTTTATCTCCAGGTCTTGCCAGACGATGATATTCAAAGAGCTAACAGAAGACTCTAACTGAAATGTTTTCCTGGCAAATTTGAAGTTGAATCAGACTGCTGGTATTTACTTGCAAAACTCTGTTAGTGTCAGCAGCTTCTAGCCTCTGAGAAATGGACTATATGGTCTCAGCCTCATAAACTCTGATATTTAAATTTAGTTCAATATAAATTCTGAAAAAGATTATTAAATATTTTTAAACTGACAGATACAAGCAGAACTTGCAGACAATGGTAAAAATGAAAAGCTGTTTTCTCCCAGCAGGAAACAAAGCAGGAACTTCAGCTTTGTAAACATTACTAGAAAAGACAAACTCATTAAATCACAGAACTCATAAATTTTTCCACAGAATGTAGACTTCCTTCAATAGAGGATGTGCCTATTATCATAGAAAATGCGAGACACTGGAGGGATTTAAAATGGAAGAATACATAGATGTTCTGTGTTTGCATGATATGACAGTCAGTTTCTGACCTTGACTCAAGATTCTGTCAGTGACCCAAATCCAACCACTGAAGGAATCTGTGTGTATGTTGCAGAACTATGCTGAAATAACCCTCTCTCTCTTTCATATCTGGTAGACGCAATACTGCCCTTCAGAATCCAAAAGAGCAAACATTTCTTCATTTTTTTTCTGCTGTGGCCCCACCCAGTTTGGAAGAATTAATTACCAAACTCTTTATGAAATGTGGAACTACCTGTATATTATATACACTTTTATAGAAAACATAACTCTATAAAATATTTTAAAAATCTGGTACAACATCATTCAAATTTTTAATACTTAATGTTAGCAGAAGTTTTCTTTTGCACAGACTTTTAGTACTCTTCATAAATATTATATATGTTTTAACAAATGCACACCTAATTGTACATTATTTGGTGTTTCTATTTTAGCTTAACCTAAGAACATACACATGTTCCTGATTGCTGTCTTCATTTTATGCTATTTTAATGGCTGCATAGTTTTCTGTTTTATTAATGTATACATCATTTCTGCCTCATTTAATCTTACAAATGTATCTATTCCTTGTTATCAATAATGCCACAATGAAAGTGTATGCCTGCCTAGGGCTTTTGCAGTATTTTAGTTTTCATATAGTAATAGGATGTCCCTTTACAAGCCACTTTGACATCCTTGGTATTCTGGCTATCTGTCTATTGCTGTGTTGCAAACCACCCACACTTTGTGGCATAAAGCCACAGCAATTTATTATGCTTATGAATTTGATGGCTGGGAATTTAGACAGGACACTGTGAATATAGAGTAATATTTGGGGCTTCTGCTGGGAAGATTAAAATAGTTCCGGGCTATCGTAATCTGTAGTCTTCTTCACTCATGTCTGGCAGCTGCCCTGTGATGACTCAAAGGATGGGTTAAGCTAAGACTACCTACTGGATTGCCTACACACAGCCTTTCTATATGGCTTGGGCTTCTCACAGTACAGCATCTGGGTTCTGTGTAGGAGTATCCTGCAAAGGAATAACTGGAATGTAAGGTTCCAAGTATTCAAGCAGACCAAGATAACCCATAGGGCACTAAATCATATAGTACTTTGTAGGTGATAGCCTTCTTTGGAACTAATGTCAGGAGTCTTGGGGTGTTGCTTCCATTCAGTAGGATCTGAAACCAACAGTACTGCAGTCCATGTAACTTAAGGACCTTCCTAATTAAATGGATCAGTCTTCTAGGGCTGATCTTAAAATATACTCAGAAATGAACACTGAACTAAGATATAACTAAGATAAAATAAATTAATATTTCCATCCTGAAATAACTGCTTCTTTTTGGATTCTCATAGAAACACTTTATCTTTATTTTCTGCATCACATTATATTCATCACTCTTTTATAGTAAATACTTGCCATGGCTTAGTTAGATTGCTCTTCTCTTGATCTCTTCTGAAAACAAAAAAGGGATGCCTAATATTTTTCTTTCACATAAGAGGTGTAAAGTTCCCCTCTGATATGGTTTGGCTGTGTCCCCACCCAAATCTCACCTTGAATTGTAATAATCCCCATGTGTCATGAGTGGGGCCAGGTGGAGATAATTGAATCATGGGGGCAGTTTCCCTCATACTGCTCTCATGGTAGTGAATAAGTCTTATGAGATCTGATGGTTTTATAAATGGGAGCTCCCCTGCTGAAGCCCTCTTGACTGCTGCCATGTAAGACATGCCTTTGCTTCTCCTTTGCATTCTGCCATGATTGTGAGGCTTCCTCAGCCATGTGGAACTGTGAATCCATTAAACTTCTTTTCTTTATAAATTACCCAGCCTTGGATATGTTTTTATTAGCAGCATGAGAACAGACTAATACACCCTCCATTGGGAAATACTTCTTTCCTTGGGATCTTTACTAATTAGCGGCCAAATAAAACACTAAAATAGTGAATGTTTATTGAACCATTGCTGTATTGAGGCTTTATGCTAAGCCCCAAAATTGTATTTCACCATGTTTCCTCAGTCATGGCTTAGCTCTGCTTCTAACATGTGTAAACCTGGTTATTAAATGGTCCTGCTATTACTAATATGAAAAAATATTTGGTTCATATATACTGGGATATAGATTTTAGAATATTTGATTCCTCTTAGAGAACTACATATTCTTAAGCCATTTGTATATATCATTAACTTCTTACAAGGAATAGATTGTGTCATATCTTTTTTTTAACTTTAAGTTCAAGGGTACATATGCAGGTAGTTATATTGGTAAACTTATGTCATGGGGGTTTGTTTAACAGAGTATTTTGTCACCCAGGTATTAAGCCTAGTACCCATCAGTTGTTTTTCCTGATCCTCTCCCTCCTCCCATCCTTCACCCTCTAATAGCCCCCAGTATGTGTTGTTCCCCTTTATGTGTCCATGTGTTCTCATCATTTAGCTACCACTTATAATTGAGAACCTGCAGTATTTGGTTTTCTGTTTGTATATTAGTTTAGGATAATTGCCTCCAGCTCCAACCATGTTCCAGCAAAGGAGATGATCTCATTTTTTTTACAGCTGCGTAGTATTCCATGGTATATATGTACTACATTTTCTTTGTCCCGTCTACCACTGATGGGCATTTAGGTTGACTCCATGTCTTTTCTATTGTGAATAGTGTTACAGTGAACCTACATGTGCGTGTAGCTTTATGATAGAACAATTTATATTTCTGTGGGTATATCCCAGTAATGAGGTTGCTGGGCTGAATGGTATTTCTGTTTTTAGGTCTTTGAGGAATCACTACACTGTTTTCTACAATGGATGAACAAATTTACACCACCCCCCCCCCAACAGTGTATAAGCATTGTCTTTTCTTTGCAACCTTGCCAACATCTGTTATTTTTTTGATATTTTTGTAGCAGTCATTCTGACTGGTGTGAGATGGTATCTCATTGTGGTTTTGATTTGCATTTTTCTAATGATCAGTGCTATTGAGGTTTTTTGATATGCTTGTTGGCCACATGTATGTCTTCTACTGAAAAAAGTCTGTTCATGTCCTTTGTTTAATTTTGAATGGTTTTTTTCTTGTGAATTTAAATTCCTTATAATGCTAAATATTAGACCTTTGTTAGATGAATAGTTTGCAAATTGTTTTCCATTCTGTAGGTTGTCCACTTTGTTGATAATTTCTTTTGCCATAAAGAAGCTCTTTTGTTTAACTAGACCCAATTTGTTGAATTTTTTGCATTTGTTGCAATTGCTTTAGGCATCTTTGTCATGAAATATTTGCCTGTTCCTATGTCCAGATGGTACTGACTAGGTTGTCTTCCAGGCTTTTTATAGATTTGGGTTTCACATTTAAGTCTTTCATCCATCTTGAGTTAATTTTTATATATGGTGTAAGGAAGAGGTCCAGTTTTAATCTTCTGCCTATGGCTAGCCAATTATCCCAGCACCATTTATTGAATAGGGAATTGTTCCCCCATTGCTTATTTTTGTCAGGTTTGTTGAGGATCAGATGGTTGTAGGTGTGTGGTCTTGTTTCTGCTTTATTCTGTTCCATTGGTCTGTGTGTTGTTTTTGTACAAGTACCCTGCTCTTTTGGTTTCTGTAGTCCCATAGTATAGTTTAAGGTTTAGTAGTATGATACCTCCTGCTTTGTTCTTTTTGCTTAGGATTGCTTTGGCTATTCAGGCTCTTTTTGGTTCCACATGAATTTTAAAATAGTTTTTTTTCTAGTTCTATGAAGAATGTCATTAGTAGTTTAATAGAAATATCACTGAATCTATAAATTGCTTTGGGCAGTAGGGCCATTTTAATGACATTGATTTTTCCTATTCATAAGCATGGCATGTTTTTTCATTTGTTTGTATCATCTCTGATTCTTTTTGAGCAGTGCTCTGTTGTTCTCCTTGTAGAGATCTTTCACCTCCCTGGTTAGCTGTATCCTAGGTATGTTTTTCTTTGTGTGGCAATTATGAATGGGATTGCCTTTCTGATTTGGCTCTCACCTTGTCTCTTTTTGGTGTATAGGAATGCTAGTGATTTTTGTATATTGATTCTCCATCCTGAGACTTTGTGGAAGTTATTCATCAGCCTAAGGAGCTTTTTTGTTAAGACTGTGAGATTTTCTAGATACAGGATGATGTCATCTGCAAACAGGGATAGTTTGACTTTCTCTCTTCCTATTTGAATGCGTTTTCTTCATTCTCTTACCTGATTGCTCTGTCCAGGACTTCCAATACTATGTTGAATAAGAATGTTGAAAAAGGGCATTCTTGTCTTTGTGCCAATTTTTAAGGGAGTGCTTCCAGCTTTTGCCCATTAAATATGATGTTGTCTGTGGGTTTGTCATACATGGCTCTTGTTATTTTGAGGTATATTCCTTCATTACGTAGGTTATTGACAGTTTTTAGCACGAAGGGGTTTGAATTTTATCAACAGCATTTTCTGAATCTATTGAGATCATAATGTGGTTTTTGTCTTTAGTTCTTTACATGCAGTGAATCACATTTGTTGATTTGCATACACTGAACTAACCTTGCCTCCCAGAGATGAAGCCTAGCTAATCATGGTGTATAAGTTTTTGATGTGCTACTGGATTCAGTTTGTCAGTATTTTGCTGAGGATTTTTCCATCACTGTTCATCAGGGATATTGGCCTGAAGTTTTCTTGTATTGTTGTGTCTCTGCCAGGTTTTGGTATCAGGATAATGTTGGCCTCATGGAATACATTAGGGCAGAACCCTTCCTCCTCAATTTTTCTGAATAGTTGTAATAGGAATGGGACTAGCTCTTCTTTGTACATCTGGTAGAATTTGGCTGTAAATCTCTCTGGTCCTGGGCTTTTCTTGTTGGTAGGCTATTTATTATTGATTCAACTTCAAAGCTCATTATTGGTCTGTTCAGGCATTGAATTTCTTCTTGGCTCAGCCTTGTGAGGGTGTATGTGTCCAGGAATTTATACATTTCTTCTAGATTTTCTAGTTTATGTGCTTAGAGATGTTCATAATGTTCTTGGCTGGTTATTTGTATTTCTGTGGGGTCAGTGGTGTATCCCCTTTGTCATTTCTAATTGTGTTTATTTGGATCTTCTCTTTTTTCTTCTTTAGTAATCTAGCTAGCAGTCTATTTTATTAATTTTTTTCAAAAGAAGTTCCTGAGCTTGTTGATCTTTTCATTGGTTTTTCATGTCTCAGTCTCCTTCAGCTCAGCTCCGATTTTGGTTATTTGGTTATTTATCATCTTCAGGTTGTTTTGCTCTTGTTTCTCTAGTTCTTTTAGTTGTGATGTTAGGTTGTTAAATTGAGATCTTTCTAACTTTTTGATGTGGGCATTTAGTGCTATAAATTTCCCTCTTAACATTGCCTTAGCTGTGTCCCAGATATTCTGATACATTATGCCTTTATTCTCTATGGTTTCAAAGAACTTCTTGATTTCTGCCTTAATTTCATTATTTTCCCAAATGTTATTCAGGAGCATGTTATCCCATTTCCATATAATTGTATGGTTTGAAGTGAATTTTTTAGTCTTGATTTCTAATTTGATTGTACTGTGGTCTGAGAGAGCAGTTGTTTTCATTTCAGTTCTTTTGCATTTGCTGAGAAGTGTTTTACTTCCGATTATATGATCAATTTTAGACTAAGTGCCATGTGGTGATGAGAAGGATGTATATTCTGTTGTTTTTGAGTGGAGAGTTCTTTAGAGGTCTATCAGGTCCATTTGATCTAGTGTTGAATTCAGGTCCTAAATATCTTTGTTAATTTTGTGCCTCAATGGTCTATCTAATACTGTCAGTGAGGTGTTGCTGTCTCCCACCATTATTGTGTGTGAGTCTAAGTCTCTTTGAAGATCTCTAGGAACCTGCTTTATGAATCTGGGTGCTCCTACATTGGGTGCATATGTATTTAGAATGATTAGGTCTTTTTGTGCAATTGCACTCTTTACCATTATATAATGTTCTTCTTTGTCTTTTTAAAATCTTTGTTTAAAATCTGTTTTATCTGAACTTAGGATGGCAATCCCAGCATTTTTCTGTTTTTTGTTTGTTTTTGGTTATTTTTTGTTTGTTTGTTTGCGTGGTAGATTTTTCTCCATCCCTTTATTTTGAACCTGTGGGTGTCATTGCATGAGAGACAGGTCTCTTGAAGATAGCATACCCATGGGTTTGGTTCTTTATCCAGCTTGCCATTCTGTTCCTTTTACTTGGGGCATTTAGCCCATTTACATTCAAGGTTAGTGTTTATATGTATGTATTTGATGCTGTCATCATGATGTTAGCTGGTTATTATGCAAAATTGGTAATGTGGTTGCTTCATAGTATCATGGTCTGTACTTAAGAGTGTTTTTGATACTTGTGTATGCTTCACGAAGTTCTCGTGCTGTGTTTTTCAGCTCCATCAGGTATTTATGTTCTTCTCTGAACTGGTTATTCTAGTTAGCAATTCCTCTAACCTTTTCTCAAGGTTCTTAGCCTCATTGCATTGTGTTAGAACATGCCCCTTTAGCTTGGAGGAGTTCGTTATTACCCACCTTCTGAAGCCTACTTCTGTCAATTTGTCAAATTAATTCTCCATCCAGTTTTGTTTCCTTGCTGGTGAGGAGCTGTGATCCTTTGAAGGAGAAGCATTCTGGTTTTGGAGTTTTCAGCTGCATTGTGCTGGGTTTTCCTCATCTTTGTGGATTTATCTACCTTTGGTCTTTGATGTTGGTGACCTCTGGATGGGGTTTCTGTGTGGACATCCTTTCTGTTGATGTTGATGCTATTCCTGTCTGTTTGTTAGTTTTCCTTCTAACAGGCCTCTCTGCTGCAGGTCTGCTGGAGTTTGCTGGAGGTCCATCCAGATCCTGTTTGCCTGGGTATCACCAGTGGAGGCTGTAGAACAGCAAAGATTGCTGCCTGTTCCTTTCTCTGGAAGCTTCATCCCATAGGGGCACTCACCAGATGCCAGCCAGAGCTCTCCTGTATGTGGTATCTGTCGACCCCTGCTAGGAGGTGTCTCCCAGTCAGGAGGCACAGGGGTCAGGGACCCACTTGAGGAGGCAGTCTGTCCCTTACCAGAGCTCGAGTGTTGTGCTGGGAGATTCCCTGCTTTTTTCAGAGCCAGGAGTCAGAAATGTTTAAGTCTGCTGCAGCTGTGCCCACAGCCACCCCTTCCCCCAGGTGCTCTGTCCCAGGGAGATGGGAGTTTTATCTATGAGCCCCTGCTGAATCAATCAAGCTAAAGAAAGGATATCAGAGATTGAAGACAAACTTAATGAAATAAAGTGTGAAGTCAAGATTGGAGAAAAAAGAGTGAAAAGAAATGAACAAAGCCTCCAAGAAATATGGGACTATGTGAAATGACCAAACCTACCTTTGATTGGTTTACCTGGAAATGATGGGGAGAATGGAACCAAGTTTGAAGTGTTTTCAGGATATTATCCAGGAGAACTTCCCCAACCTAGCAAGACAGGCCAACATTCAAATTTGGGAAATACAGAGAACATCACAAAGATACTCCTCAAGAAGAGCAACCCCAAGACATATAATCTTCAGATTCACCAAGGATAAAATGAAGGAAAAAATGTTAAGGGCAGCCAGAAAGAAAGGTCAGGTTACCCACAAAGGGAAGTCCGTCAGACTAACAGTGGATCTCTCTGAAGGAACTCTACAAGCCAGAAGAGAGTGGGGGCGATTATTCAACCTTTTCTTTTTTTAATTATTGAGATGGAATCTCATTCTGTCGCCCAGGCTGGAGTGCAGTGGCGTGATCTTGACTTGCTGCAACCTCTACCTCCCTGGTTCAAGTGATTCTTCTGCCTCCACCTCTTGAGTAGCTGGGACTACAGGCACATGCCACCATGCCCAACTAATTTTTGTATTTTCAGTAGAGATGGGTTTTCACCGTGTTAGCTGGGATGGTCTCAATCTCCTGACCTTGTGATCTGCCTGCCTCGAACTCCCAAAGTGGTAGGATTACAGGCATGAGCCACTATGCCCAGCCTCAACATTCTTAAGGGAAAGAATTTTCAACCCAGAATTTCATATCCAGCCAGACTAAGCTTCATAAATGAGGGAGAAATAAAATCCTTTACAGACAAGCAAATGCTGAGAGATTTTGTCACCACCAGGCCTGTCCTACAAGAGGTCCTGAAGGAAGCACTAAATATGGAAAGAAAAAACTGGTACCAGCCACTGCAAAAACATACCAAATTGTAAAGACCTTCAAAACTCTGAAGAAACTGCATCAACTATTGGGCAAAATAACCAGCTAGCATCGTAATGACAGGATCAAATTCATACATAACAATATTAACCTTAAATGTAAATGGGCTAAATATTCCCAATTAAAAGATACAGACTGGCAAATTGGATAAAGAGTCAAGACCCATCAGTGGGCTATATTCAGGAGACCCATCTCATGTACAAAGACACACATAGGCTCAAAATAAAGGGATGGAGGAATATTTACCAAGCAAAAGGAAAGCAAAAAAAGCAGGGGTTGCAATCCTAGTCTCTAATAAAACAGAGTTTAAACCAACAAAGATCAAAAGAGACAAAGAAGGGCATTACATAATAGTAAAGGGATCAGTGCAGCAAGAAGAGCTAACTATCCTAAATATATATGCACCCAATACAGGAGCACCCAGATTCATAAAGCAAGTTCTTAGGGACCTACAAACAGACTTGGACTCCCACACAATAAAAGTGGGAGATTGTAACACCCCACTGTCAATATTAGACAAATCAACAAGAAAGAAAATTAACAAGGGTATTCAGGACTTGAACTCAGCTCTGGATCAAGTAGACCTAATAGACATCTACAGAACTCCCCACCCCAAATCAACAGAATATACATTCTTCTCAGCATCATATCACACTTATTATAAAGTTGACTACATAATTGGAAGTAAAACACTCCTCAGCAAATGCAAAAGAATGGGAATCATAAAAAACAGTCTGTTGTACCACAGTGCAATCAAATTAGAATTCAGGATTAAGAATTTCACTCAAAACTGCACAACTACATGGAAACTGAACAACCTGCTCCTGAATGACTACTGGGTAAATAATGAAATTAAGGCACAAATAAATAAGTTCTTTGAAACCGATGAGAACAAAGATACAACATACCAGAATCTATGGGACACAGCTTAAGCAGTGTTTAGAGGGATATTTATAGCACTAAATACCCACAGGAGAAAGTGGGAAAGATCTAAAATTGAGACCCTAACATCACAATTAAAAGAACTAAAGAAGCAAGAACAAACAAATTCAAAAGCTAGCAAAAGACAAGAAATAACTAACATCAGAGGAGAACTGAAAGAGATAGAGACACGAGAAACCCTTCAAAAAATTCAATGAATCCAGGAGCTGGTTTTTTGAAAATATTAACAAAATAGGCCACTAGCCAGACTAATAAAGAAGAGAGAGAAGAATCAAATAGACACAATAAAAAATGATAAAGGGGATATCACCCCTTATCCCACAGAAATACGAACAACTATCAGAAAATACTATAAACACCTCTATGCAAATAAACTAGAAAACCTAGAAGAAACTGATAAATTCCTGGACACATACACCCTCCCAAGACTAAATCAAGAAGAAGTCAAATCCCTGAATGACCAATAACAAGTTCTAAAATTGAGGCAGTAATGAATAACCTACCAACCAAAAAAAGTCCAGGACCAGGCAGAGTCACAGCTGAATTCTACCAGAGGTACAAAGAGGAGCTGGTACCATTCCTTCTAAAAGTATTCCAAACAGTAGAAAAAGAGGGTCTCCTCCCTAACTCATTTTATGAGGCCAGCATCATCCTGATACCAAAACCTGGCAGAGACACAACAAAAAAGAAAATTTCAGGCCAATATCCCTGATGAACATCAGTGCAAAATCCTCAATAAAATACTGGAAAACTGAATTCAGCAGCACATCAAAAAGCTTATCCACCACTATCAAGTCACCTTCACCCCTGGGATGCAAGCCTGTTTCAACACATGCACATCAATAAACGTAATCCATCACATAAACAGAACCAATGACAAAAAACACATGATTATCTCAATAGATGCAGAAAAGGCCTTCAACAAAATTCAACAACCCTTCCTGCTAAAAACTCAATAAACTAGGCATTGATGGAACATATCTGAAAATAATAAGAGCTATTTATGACAAACCCACAGCCAATATCATACTGAATGGGCAAAAGCTGGAAGCATTCCCTTTGAAAACCAGCCCAAGACAAGGTTGCCCTCTCTCACCACTCCTATTCAACATAGTATTGCAAGTTCTGGCCAGGGCAATCAGGCAAGAGAAAGAAATAAAGGGTATTCAAAGAGGAAGTCAAATTGTGTCTGTTTGCAGATGCCATGATTGTATATTTAGAAAACCCCATCGTCTCAGCCCAAAATCTCATTAAGCTGATAAGCAACTTCAGCAAAGTCTCAGGATACAAAATCAATGTGCAAAAAATCACAAGCATTCCTATACACCAATAATCAACAAACAGAGAGCCAAATCATGGGTGAACTCCCATTCACAATTACTACAAAGAGAATAAAATACCTAGGAATCCAACTTACAAGGGATGTGAAGGACCTCTTCAAGGAGAATTACAAACCACTGCTCAAGGAAATAATAGAGGACACAAAAAAATAGAAAAATATTCCATGCTCATGGATAGGAAGAAAGAGTATTGTGAAAATGGCCATATTGCCCAAAATAATTTATAGATTCAATGCTATCCCCATCAAGCTACCATTGACTTTCTTCATGGAATTGGAAAAAGCTACTTTAAATTTCATATGGAACCAAAAAAGAGCCTGTACAGCCAAGACAATCCTAAGCAAAAGGAATAAAGCTGGAGGCATCATGCTACCTGACTTCAAACTATACTACAAGGCTGCAGTAACCAAAACAGCATTGTACTGGTACCAAAACAGACATATAGACCAATGGAACAGAACAGAGGCCTCAGAAATAACACCACACATCTACAACCATCTGATTTTTGACAAACCTGACAAAAACAAGCAATGGGGAAAGGATTCCCTATTTAATAAATGGTGTTGAGAAAACTGGCTAGCCACATACAGAAAACTGAAACTGGACCCCTTCCTTACATCTTATACAAAAATAAACTCAAGATGGATCAAAGACTTAAATGTAAGACCTAAAACCATAAAAACCCTAAAAGAAAACCTGGGCAATACCATTCAGGACAGAGGCATGGCAAAGACTTCATGACTAAAACACCAAAAGCAATGGCAACAAAAGCCAAAATTGATAAATGGGATCTATTTAAACTAAGGAACTTCTGCACAGCAATATAAACTGTCATCAGAGTGAATAGGCAACCTACAGAATGGGAGAAAATTTTTGCAATCTATCCATCTGACAAAGGGCTAATATCCAGAATCTACAAGGAACTTAAACACATTTACAAGAAAAAAAATAAACGTCCCCATCAAAAAGTGGGTGAAGGATATGAACAGATACTTTTCCAAAGAAGACATCGATGCGACCAACAAACATATGTAAAAAAGCTCATAGTCACGGGTCATTAGAGAAACACAAATGAAAACTACAGTAAGACACCATCTCAAGCCAGTTAGAATGGAGATTATTAAAAAGTCAGGAAACAACAGATACTGGAGAGGATGTGGAGAATTAGGAACACTTTTACACTGTTGGTGGGAATGTAAATTAGTTCAACCATTGTGGAAGACAGTGTGGCAATTCCTCAAGGATCTGGAACTAGAATTATCATTTGACCCAGCAATCCCATTACTGGGTATATACCTAAAGGATTATAAATCATGCTACTATAAAGACTCATGTACATGTATGTTTATTGCAGCACAATAGCAAAGACTTGGAACCAACTCAAATGCCCATCAGTGATAGACTGGTTAAAGAAAATGTGGCACATATACAACATGGAATACTATGCAGCCATAAGAAAAAATGAGTTCATATGCTTTGCAGGTACATCAGTGAAGCTGGAAACCATAATTCTCAGCAAACTAACACAGGAACAGAAATCCAAACACCGCTTGTTCTCACTCATAAACGGCAGTTGAACAATGAGTACACATGGACACAGGGAGGGGAACATCACACACCAGGATCTGTCGGAGGCTAGGGGTTTAGGAAAGGGATAGCATTAGGAGAAATACCTAATGTAGATGACGAGTTGATGGGTGCAGCAAACCACCATGGCACGTGTATACCTATGTAACAAAACTGCATGTTCTGCACATGTATCCTAGAACCTAAAGTGTAATAAAACAAAAACAACAACAACATCAACAACAACAAGAGTGTTTTTGTAGTGCTGTTAATGGTCTTTTCTTTCCATATTGGTGCTTTCTTTATAAGTGCTTGTAAGGCAGGTCTGGTGGTAACAAATTCCCTCAGCATTTGCTTGGCTTAAAAGAGTCTTATTTCTCCTTCATTTTTGAAGTTTAGTTTGGCCAGATATGAAATTCTGGGTTGGAATTTCTTTTCTTTAAGAATGTTGAATATTGGCTCTGAATCTCTTCTAGCTTGTAGGATTTCTGCCGAGAAGTTGGCTGTTAGTCTGATGGGTTTTCCTTTGTAGGTGACTTGATTCTTCTTCCAGCTTCATTTAACATTTTTCTTTCGTTTAGACCTTGGAGAATCTGAAAATTATTTCTCTTGTGGATGTTCTTTTTGTGAAGTAACTTACTGGGGTTCTCCGCATTTTCTGAATTTGAATGTTGGCCTCTCTAGCTAGGCTGGGGAAGGTCTCATGGATAATATTGTGAAATATGTTTTCCAAGTTGCTTATACCCTCTTTGTGTTTTTCAAGGACACCAATGAGTCATAGATTTGGTCACTTTATATAATCTCCTATTTCTTCGAGGTTTTGTTCATTCCTTTTCATTCTTTTTTTGTTATTCTTGTCTGTCTTATTTCTGAAACCCAGTGTTCCAGCTTTGAGATTCTTTCCTCTGCTTCGTCTATTCTGCTATTACTACTTGTGATTTCCTTATGAAATTCTTGTAGTGTGTTTTTTCACCTATATCAGGTAAGTTACAATTTTTTTTCTATACTGGCTATTTTGTCTATAAGCTCCTGTATTGTTTTATTGTGATTCTTAGCTTTCTTGCATTGAGTTTCAATGTACTCCTTCAACTCAGTGGTCTTTATTTCTATTCATATTCTAAATTCTGTTTCTGGCACTTTAGCTATCTCAGCCCATTTTTGAACCCTTGCTGGAGAGGTGGTGTGGTTGTTTGGAGAAAAGAAGACACTCTGGCTTTTGAGTTTTCAGAGTTCTTGTGCTGGTTCTTTCCCAGCTATGTGGGCTGATGTTTCTTCAATCTTTGAGGTTTCTATACTTTGGATTTTTTTTCTTTTATCCTATTTGATGACCTTGAGGGTTTGATTGTGGTCTAAGGTAGATTCAGTAGACTGGCTTCATTTCTGGATTTTAGGGGGCCAGTGCTCAGTTCCCAACTCCTGGACTGAAAGCTTTAGCAATGGGAAACTTGTATCCAGCCCCAACTTTGTTCTCTGGCTCCCCAAGGTTTGGAGTCCACTGCGCTGGGACGACCAAGGTATTCCTGGACTGCTGGTCACTACACTCTGAGGGGTGGTGTTAGCCAAAGCATTGCAAATAAATAAACATTTATTTCATGATTTGTTCTTTTTGTGTTGGCAGATAGATGGATGATAGATGGATAGATAGATAGATGGATGGATAGATAGATGATAGATAGATAGATAGATAGATAGATAGATAGATAGATAGATAGATAGATAGATTAAAATAATTCAAGCTTACTAGAGAGTTACATTAGACAGAGAAGCCACCACTCTATTTTTAATTTACAAACCAGTGCCAGGGATAGTGGCAGTGGCCATTTTAAAGACTGAGTCATTAATAAAGTGCTAGTGAGACTGGGTGATATGGTTTGGATGTTTGTCCCCTTCAAATCTCATTGTGAAATGTGACACTCAATATTTGAGGTGGGCCTAACGGGAGATGTTTGGGTCATGGGGACGGATTTCTCATGAATGGTTTGGTGCCTTCCCCATGGGAGTTGCAGCAAGTTCTTATTGTTAAAGAGTTTAGAACCTCCCTCCTCTCTTTCTTGCTCTCTTGCTTTTTGTTTTGCCATATGATATGCCTGCTCCTGCTTCACTTTTTGCCATGAGTATAAGCTCCCTGAGGCCTCACCAGAAGCTGAGCAAATGCCAATGCCATGCTTGTACCTGCGGAATCATGAGCCAATAAAATATCTTTCTTTACAAATTACCCAGTCTCAGGTATTCCTTTATAAAAATGCAAAAACACATTAACATATCGGGAATGCTAATAAAATAATTCTGGGGCAGAGGCAAAAGTTTAGCTCAGCAATTAGGCTCCTCTTGTCTCACCACAACACCAAATTTAAAGGACAGGCTTTCAACTCTTACATGACCGGGATTTTATCATGTTTCAACCATTTAAAGTTAGTGATCTTTAGGCAAGTCACATAATTTATCTGTGCCTCTTTCCTCATTGATAAAGTGAAAACAACAATACCTACCTCACAAGAGTGTGGTAAGGATTAAATGACATAATCTAGGCTAAGTATGAACATACTATTCAGAACCTATTAGTCACTCAGCAAAAATTTCAAAAACCCTCAAAGTTCTTTTTTTTCTTTGTAATTGATTCTAGGATGTTATTTGACTGTGGCTCATTGTTTCCCATGATATTGCTGATTATATAAACCCTAATACTAACATACATTGCTGATTATATAAACCCTAATTGCTGATTATATAAACCCTAATACTAACATACATTTTGATTCTTGGCCATATTCCAACTCCTGGAATTCATCTGCGCTTCTTGTCTTGGCTCTATTTGTTTTATTTTGTCTTTTGGCACTCAGCTCCATGCCTATCCAGTTGTCACAACTTCATCTCACACAACCGTCTGAAGAGCAGAGAAAACATAAAACACATTAACACAAACATAATAAAAACAAACAAGATCAAATTATTCTGCATGAAGATGTTTTAATAACTTGAAGATCTGATGAAATCTGCCTTCTGTATATATAAATAGTATTTTAACAACCCTTATGCCAGCTTCGTAAAAGTTTCTGGGTTTTTTTTTTTTTTTGCAAAAATTATTTGCTGTTCAAGAGATGATACTAACTGAATATGTTGCAGTATCTTCGCATTTATGTTGGCATATCTCACCTTTGTTTTTGGCAGAAGAACAATAATGACTTAGCCAGGTAGAGCTTGACAGTATGTAGAACTTTAAATTTAGGGCAAATACATGTCCTAGTTCATGCAGCTTTGTAGTCATTGTGTAAACTAAAATCTTTAGACATGAACTCTATTTTAGATAAATATTATATTTTATAAATGAATAAATATGTAATATATACAGTAAACTACCAGATGAAGAAACCTGAATATTAAATAGATGTTCTTTAAGGCAGATGGGATTTATAAAGTACTGTAAGAATCTTTACAGTATGTTGTAGCTTACAGTACTTTATAGCCCATAAATAATTCTAGGTTTTCATTGTTTTATGCATATCCAAAGATTATCTGGATTAAGAAATTGTGATTTTTGTCAACCATTAGTTTGCATTTACTTACTACAAATATTGCATGCAGCCTCAAATAGTCAAGAATATTAGGCATTTAAACAGTATGCATTTAAAAGCTGACAATGAGAAAAATATGGCAAATTAAATAATGCTGTATTTTTATATATTAAATATTTATGCAACAGGGTAGAGGTAATGGAATATATGATATCCACACTTAAAAATAAAGAATGGTTACTATAGAGGATCATATTTGTATTCTAGAATTTGTCTTATTTATAAATTCAATGTTATTGAAGAACTTCCAGGATAAATCAATATATTATAAGTACTTGCACTTTATGAAATTTAATCCTTCATTGCTTTAAGTATGCACAGCTAATATATTACTACTAAACATTGTGTTTACTACCAGTGCATTAGCACAATTAATTTGTCTCAGACAGAATGCTGTGATTACCCCAAAGTGACAATTATTATAAGATAAAAATTTCAGACGAAAGTACTCAGTTATTGGCTAGTGATTTGGGCTGCACTTAGCTGAAGAGTTCTGGTTTTGCCTGGGTGCCTTCATATATTTATAATCATGTGGGAGCTGATTGATCTAAAGCTTTAACTCAACTGCTCACTCCTTTAGGCTAGCCAAGTCTTGTTCACATGGAAATTCATTCCAAGAACAGCAAGAACACAACAACCAAGGTAGAGCATTTTAAAATATCTCTGCATTATATTTGTTTGTTATATTCTATTAGCCAAAGCAAGTCACATGACCAAGACTATTAGTCCGTGTGGTAAGATGTTAACCAAAGGTGAGGACACAGGTTGCCATACATAAGTTTGGATTGAATAATCTAACACAGTGAGGTCTTAGGAGGTAATTTAAGTAATCTCTCAGTTCACAAAGAGAGAGTTAAAATGTCAAATATAAATGTAATTTCTTTCAACTTGAATTTAATTGCTTGATGACACAAGAATTTATTTGTTTGGTAACTGCTCCTGTAGCAATAAGCATTTCCTAGTGACAGATATGTCTCAATATTGTTTGTATAGAGAAAGTTTGAATCTTCTTCCCCTTCTCCATCCCTACCATTCACCATCCATCTTCACTAACCCTTCAATTAAATCATGCCTATTTTAACATAAAGTGAACTCCACACAACAAACCAAACTAAAGCAAATCAAACCAAACCAAACAATAACAACAACAAATTAAAATTATCAAAACTTTTTAACATAGCAGAAAAGTATTTTCAGAGGAAGTTTACATATACCATATGTCTTCAAAATTAAGATTTCTAACATGAAATTAAGATTCCCACAAAAAGTCAGAATTTGGGTATTTTTGGTAAATTCTCATATAGAGTTAGTGCCTACTGAGTTGCAACAAATCAAATATTCAATGAGTGATGGTTTGATGAGAAAGTGGAGCTTTAGTGCCATGCTAGTCTTTATATAAATAGAATATTTTATTGCCTTCTACCAGCACACCTATTCTTTTATAGTTACAAATCAGCTTCTCTGTATGTCCCGTCTTTCTATCCTCATTTACTGACAAATAATTTTGATTGTTTACTGATCAGGAGATTTATTTGGAAAAATGTGTGAGTGAAATGAAAAAAGAGAATTATAATTTAAGGGCATAATAAGGTCTCTCAAGAAGATTTTAGGCTAAGTAAACTGAATGTGTTTGTAGGCCAATGAAATGGGTCAGGAGAAGAGTGAGGCTTTTTTAGAAAAAAGCTATGCAATTCATTTATAGAACGAGTTCCCAAGGAGCATAGGTATTATTTTTGGAAAAGAGGACAGACTTGTTTCTCTCGGAGAGAAGAAAAGGATAGAATAAGTATAGGCTATAGAACAAGGCTTTGCAAAAGAGTGTGATGCAACAGATATGTATCATTGAAGCAGGGGGGACATTTTTCTTTTTCATGCTTCTCAGTAAGATAAGAGGTAGGATCACCTACTTAGATTGAAAGTCCAGTTCATTGCAGTTCATCTGACATTATTTGAACATCTCTTATGTGATGAGAATATTCCTAGATACCTATGATCCCAAGAGGAATAATGAGCAATCTCTATTGAAGGACTTTACAATCTAAGTGAGAGACTGGTCACATAAATCCAGTCTAATGTTCATAGGTAGGCTTTTGCAGAAAACGTTACCTAAGTTTGGTCTTAAAAGACATACAGACATTAATCATGAGAAGATAGGGAAGGAGATTGCAAACAGAAAGAAAAGTAATTGCCAAACCAGCTAAGGTAGACACACAAATGTTTAATATTGATAGAACTGTTTCTGAATTTTTAACTTATTACTTCTTTGATGAGCATGAAAAATGTTATACATCCCTATTCCTGAAATACTGAATTGCCTCCCACCAATGCTGCCCACTATAAAACCTGATGTTTCTTGGTGATGAGAAGACTCTGCCTGAGCAAATTGAACTGGCAATCGGAAGTATGTGTGGGTCTTTCTATTAGCAATTCTGCAAGAGGCTTATGCTATGGACGCTACAGGCAGTAGAATATAAGTAGAAAGGAAGTAAAAACTAGAATTAACAGAACTCCTGGTTTTTACCCAGGGAGCCATGGAGGACTGGAAATAGCTCTGAGATAGTAAAGCAAGGTACTTAACATTTTCTACCATTTGAATTCCTATATAGCCTCTAATGAAGTACCAATTGATTAAAGGAGTGAACAAGTGGAAGAAATGGCTCATAAGGCTTCCATGTCACACATATTTAAGATCCCAGAAACTTCAACATTAAAATTAGCAACCCGTTTAGGTTGTTGATTTGCTCAGGTAGATATTTTATTCCTAAAGAGATTTTATTTTATTTTATTTTATTTTAAGACAGGGTCTCGCTCTGTCACCCAGGCTGGAGTGCAGTGGCATGATCATGGCTCACTGCAGCCTCCACCTCCTGGGGTCAAGCCATCCTTTCACCTCAGACTCCTGAGTAGCTGGTACCATACCTGCACAGCACCATACCCAGCTAATTTATTATTATTATTTGTAGAGATGGGCTGGTCACCCAGGCTGGTCCTGAACTCCTGGGTCCAAACAATCATCCTGTATTGGCCTCCCAAAGTGCTGGGATTATGGTGTGAAAAAAGGGAAAATAAATTACATTAACAAAAATCAAAGTAACAAAAACAACAGAAAGCAAAACAAAACAAAAATACTATCAATCAAAACAAGCCATCTGCCTAGAACACTTACCGAATTTATTTAAAGCTTTTAGATATTTGCTGAATGAACATTAGAATGGCTGTCATAAAATATTAGAAATTACTTTCTCAGAGTTCAAGGAGCATGGATTTTTTTTTTCTTAGAGAATTTATTGTCAGCCTCACCTTTTATTGGTATAGAAAGGTGGACATTAGATCATGGGGTAAGAGAAACTTCGCCTCTTCAAGTTTGCTGCTGCATTTTGATTTTGGACCTCCTACAAACTTAATGGTACTGGTGGCAGCAGGACTGACATTAAAGATTGGCTGAGGCTGGTTTTCATTTGCTGGCCTGCTTCAGACACCTTTTTATTATCTTTGGTTACCTAGCAACAGATAATGTTCAGTTTAGGCCAGATGATGCCATCAAGGCTCTTCCCTGTGCTATGATTTTGAGTGTTTATTCATTAACCACATTCCTTAGTGTCTATGTAATGGCCTCTATTAGTGTGAAAATGGGAAAACTGTGATTCGGTTAATGAAACAGTCACTCATTTTTGAGTTTCTAATACTGTAGAGTGAATTTGTTTGAAAAATGTTCTGAGCAAACTTCTTTGATGGCTTGAAGAAAAATAATTTGGTGACTTACTATAATTTAAAAAGAAGTAGAAGTTACTTCTCTATAGGTGGCTTCTTTCGAATTGCAGGTTTGAAGGTGGCTTATCACAGCAAGGAACTAATTGTCTGGTCTTAACTAGGCACACTGCTGCGAGATCTTGGAAACATTTCTTCTCCTGATGTTTGTATCACCTTGAGCTTCATTTTAATGATACCTCGCTCTCTTTGGTATTGAGTCTCATTTCAACAGAAAATGTGAGCTAGTTTTACTTTTTTAAAGAACTGAGTTATGTAGACAAAGTTGAAAATTGCTAAAAAGTATTTCTCATATGTTTGAAATATCCATTGAGAGAGGTAGATTTGCCTTATTTTTTAACAGCTTTTCATACTTTTTGAAATTAACTCCTTTTTCTAATATCTCTGTGATATTTGACATTTTTACTTCAGAAGTATAATTACTTATGCAATTGAAGTATTATTATATAGGTGTCTTAATGGAAATAAATGTCTCCTCAAATTTATGTAATCCAAATTTTAAAGTTAACTTTAGAGTGTTTTATATGGTTTTATAACTGATTTCTTTACTTAATTACAATTTAAATTTAGAATGAAAAAAATCAGTTTTACTGTTTAGTATTTTGAAAACCAACTGGTTTATATTTCAATCAAAAAATCCCCTTTCTATGTTTATGTTAATATGACTGTATAAGACATTTTAGGTCTTGCAAATATGACAAGGACATAATCTTTGTTTTCAAGTAATTTATTATTTTATGAAGCAGGCATGTAAGTAAATTTAAAGCAAGGAATAATGTAGCTTTACAGACAGAAACCTATGCAGATATAAATCCATGTATTGGATTTGTTCAAGAGACAACAAGGATTTAAACTTGTCTAGGAAAGTGATTCTTCAATTTGCATTCCAGACCAACCAGCAGCGCAATTTGAGAACTTTTTTAGAAATTCAAATTCATGGGTTTTATCTGTTAAGCTCAAAGAATCTGGAATGGAGTCTAGCAATCCGTGTTTTCACAAGCCCTTTATGTCATTCTAATGCACTCTAACGTTTGAGAACCACTACTTCAGAGCTGAACTATCCAATATAGTAGCCACTAGCTACATATTTCTATACAATTTATATTAAATCCAGATTTCAGTTCCTCAGTTACATCAGCCACATATGCTCAGTATGTCTACTGAGTGCTCAGGAGACATACGGAGCTAGTAGCCGCCATATTGGCTAGAGTAGATACAAACATTTCCATCATTAGATATCATTACTTTAGAGCATGGAGACCTCAATGAGATACCATCAAGGACAGAAAGAAAGCTTTAGCTCAGATCATAGAAACTCTTAAATGCAATAGTAAGGAACTTGAGCCATACCCTAGTATCACGGGGGAGTGATAAATATTTTTTAAGGAAAGAACAATGACAAAGACTAGACTTCGTTCACAGAACATCACTCTTCCAGCCAGGTACCGGATGATTCCTACTGACTTAGTCTAGAGGGAAGCAAATACAAGTTATACTTGCACTGAGACTGTGATAAAGGGAAGGGAAAGTACAATGTGCATTTATAAAACATTGAAAATGTAGACGCAATAGGAACTGGTTGCTCTTTGGATAGGAGATGGTCAGCAAACAGAAAACTTGAATAAGACTAAATTTTTTAGTGAATGACTGGGACAAAGTTAATAACATTACAAGTGACAAATAAGAATAGCAGTAGCTTATCAGATTAAGAAAAAAAAGATGATGAGTTTGCCATAATGTTGTATTAAGTCAATAACTTTTACATTCATCCAGAAATTTTCTTCACTATTTTTATAACACAGTTTTATCTTGTTATTTCACTGTCTACTAATTTCTTAGATAACCACTTTTAATGAAGAAATTAAACACTTTCCCAATAATTATTAAATGTTTATCAAAGACCAAAACAAAGACCAAAGAAATTTTATCTGTCAATGAATCTGGTGGAACTTGTCAAAACAATTATTTCCTCTTTAGCTAGAAAATAATTTTTCTGAAAAAGGGTTTGCAAAGAAATAACCCAGATTTAACTTATTATGTGAACATTCTAGTTTTCCCAAGTACACTCTCGACATTATAGTTCAATTTTGTGGCAAATTGAAATGGTTTTCAATTTTGTGTGAAATCAAATATTCTTTTTTTGAAATATGTGCAGTGCTTAGAAAGTAAAACATTGTTTTAGTTCTTTATTACATTACACACTTCACAACAGTGCATAATTTACACATTAATGTGCTATACTCCTGTGGATTAATTTTATTTCCACTTGAAGATTCAAAGAATCATATTAGCTGACATCATGTCAGAATGATTTGTGTGTTTTAGGCCAGTTCTTCATAATGACAGCTTAATTGACATGATTTGAGGTAGAAAAAATACCCATTCTGTTAGGTGTCCAGAATCTTAAGTTGTAGTTCTTAATTCTACTGTTTTCAGGATGTTAGATGAAGAGTAAAATTCTTGGGCTAAAATTTCCTTATTTATATAATAAAAAGCTTGAGCTAGACTGCCTTGGTTTTTCTGGCTCTCAGTAAGGCAAAATCATGAGAACACAATTGCTTGAGATTATTTATTAGCTACTGTTTATCAAGGAGCATGTCTCGGGTGGTAACATGACACAGGGCAGGCAAATTGCAGACAAGTCAAGGGCAATAAGGTTTGGGACATCGAATGCAGATGCTTGTATCAGACTGGATGGTAGCAACTAGAGACTTTTCTTCAGGATTCTGAGATTTGGGGTAATATTGAAAATAAGGGAATTGCATCCTCATGTAAATTAGTCTCTAACTGGGAATTGGTGGTGTGATGGAAAATAAAAGACAATGTTGCTTAGACCGAGCTGTTATGAAATAGAGCGGGAGCTGGGCTCTGGAAAAAACAAATGGTTATACTTGATCTGCCTCTGGCATATATTTATACTGTTAGATACGTATATTCTGAAATTATACACTGTGGCAGTGAATTTGACAGAGTGAGTAAATAACTGACAGGGTAGAAAGAGCCCTGGGTAAGGGATCCCAAGACCTTGCTTGGATCCTAGCTTTTCTACTAGCTTGTGCCATGGTGTCAGGAAAGTCACTTATGGTGACATCTGCTTCTGTGCCAACTACCCTCTGGGAAAACTTGACACTCCTTGGCCTATCCAAGCAGTAGAGAGAGCAATCTAAGTAGTAAGTGGCTAAATTGTTCCAATTTTCAGCCAATCTATTTAGTTAACTTGCTTATTAAAATCAGTGGCACGCAGATTAAATCACCTTCTGGTAACCATGCCAACAGGTGGATTTATGCAGGCCTCGTAGATTTGTGAACAATCAAGATGTTGACATTGACTATGTCCAACCTAGAGGAAGAAACAATAGATATATGCAGCAGTAACGAGTGACCAATCACTTAGGATCAGTTTAATGCCTTTTATATTATATCTGATTTTTTTCCTTTCATGATCTAGTACTTTGCAGCATGAACACTTAAATTTCTCTCCAGGCCTTTCCAAAGGTGACTTCTTAATTGCAGATTCTCAGTCTGCTGCTATCACTAACTTCATTTATGTACAGTGACTTTCTTATTGGCACAAGAAGTAATGTCTGTTTTCAGGGAGCCAGAGAATAGGACAAGAGCAGTTAAATGTATGGATAAACCTGCTCAGACTCTACTTACGTTTTTTGCTGCTGTCTCTCTTTTGGTCACAAATTATACAGTGACAATGCATTTACTCTTTGTCTTCTGTATTTTATTCAATCAGAGATTTATCAGTGACCAGACATATTTTATTACCTCAAAGGGGAACTGAAAATAGTTTTTCAAAAATTTTAATAAGATTTTCCATAAAACAGTATTATTTTATAATTCTGAAAATTAATTAACATGCTGGTATATTTTCCTTAATACAACCATTATTTTCATTTTAATATAATACACTATAATACAAGTCTCTTATTAATCCTCTCTTCTTCCTGCAGTTTAATATCTCTGTGCTGTTTTTTTTTTCCCCCTACAAATAGAGGAGTTTGGATTTGGTGATGTCTTAAATCCCTTGAAGCTCTGAGAATAAGTCTGAAAGTTAGAGATAAAAGAAGGGCTTTCCTTATTTCCTGAGACTGAAGTCATGAAAATGTCTACTCTGCTGCTTTCTAAAACATCCTTTAGACTTACTGAAGTGAACAGACCATTTCAACAGTCTGACACTGAATGCTATTTATCTTCCTGTATTCCTCAAATGGTTGTCTCTCATTCTTCCATGCGATGATTTTGCAGGCATTTAATCCTTGAAGTAAGTGGCACTTTTCTAATTTTAACTCAGGTCAATCAGTTGGGTGAGTATTGATGAACAAGCATTTGCCATGTCCCAGGTAATGTCAATCTGTATTGAACATGTGCCATGCCTAAGAGATTTCTTAATTAACCTGCTGACACTGCCAATGAGAGTTCAATGTGGTTTCAAGAGAGAGTCTTGTAAGCACATGCCCGTTTGCTATTTTTACCATTTGCTCTGATGTTCCAAGAATATCATGTCTTTCATTTTTCTTATCAGAATTAAACAATTCATGAAGACCATTTAAATATGTGGTTTCATTTTTTTTAAATGCTGGTAAAATTTGAATGCTTTAAATATAGGAATATGTAGGTCATGAAATAGGACCAAATGAATTGCTTTTATAATTTTGGTTTTACTTTTTAAAAAAATTTTTCTTTGTTTTAGAAAGGTCTATTCTGAAGCCATTTACCTGAAAAGTGTCACCTGAAAAGCTTAAGTCCTGAAACCCTCTCCCAGGAGTCTCATGTTATCATGTCATTTTAAAATGAGTTATCTTGCTATTTTTGAAAGTATACTGCAACTGCTACTGTCACTTTCACTCTGGAAAACTTGGTACATACCCATTTCATTTTCTGTCAAATGTGCTTGAGTTTATTGCAAATCAAGCATAATAGAAATTGTATTTTCCATTAAAATAATACTGTGATTACCATCAATCTGTTACCTGAACAGCATTTACAAAAATTAAAGTATAAGTTAAATACAGAAAATCTATAAAATATACTAAGTACACAGCTTGAAAATTTTTATATTACTCAGAATGTTTCCAAACTTTATAAGTTTTTTTGGTACCCCTTCCCAGTCTGTATCTTCCTTCACCTATAGAGGTAACCGATATTCTGATTTCTATCATTATCACTAATTTTATAAGAATTCTTTATTCGGCTCCAAAGAGACCCAAGGTAGAAGCTCTCCCTTTCACTAGCTCACAATATATTGTAGGGGAGATAAGAGCCATGAAGAAATTACCAGAGTACAAAGGAAATTCCTAAGCATCATAGAGTTGTAAAAGTGACAATGCCATCTCAGATTTTATAGTATGTACTATTTACAAATATGTATGAATTAATAATTATAATCGACACTCACAACACTTCTGTATGATGAATGCCATTATCTCTATTATACAATGAGATAACTTAAGGTCATAAAGGTTAACTAATATGTCTGTATTAGTTTTCTACTGCTGTATAACAATAAATTACTACAAATTTAGCAGCTTAAAACAAATTTATTATGTCATAGTTTCCATGTGTCAGAAACCTGGGCACTGATTAGGAGGGTTCTCTCCTTACCAGACTGAAAATAAGGTGTTGTGCATGACTAAAATCTTATCTGAGACTTGAGGTCCTCTTCTAATCTTCCTGTTTGCTGGCAGAATTCTTTGTAGTTGTAGCACTGAGGTTTCAGTTTTCTTGCTGGCTACTGGTTGCCCTCAGTTCCTAAAGATCAACCCCAAGTCCTAGTCAAGTGACTCTCTTACAACAAGCGTGGTAGTTTACTTCTTCATAGCTGGTGGCAGAATTTCTCTAACAAAAGGCTCTAACAAAAGTTAAAGTATCATTATTGAATATTTATTATGTTGCATTATCAAATTTAAAGCTATTGACAATTTTATGATATAGAGTTTTAGTCTTATTTTACAATTATGGAAGCCAAGGCTTGGTAAAGTAACTTGCTTACATAGCTTTCACATGAAAGAGTCAACCAAGCTCTTTCTGACTACATATTCAATGCTCTTATACACAATGTAACATGCCTAAAGGGAATACTTGGACTAGGCTTTGAAGGGTGTGTAGATATCAACACACACCCTTCATATATAATATCTATAGGTAGTTATATAATAAAAAATTACCTGCAACTAACAAAAACAGCAGGAAAAACATAGGCAAAGGGTTGGTGAAGAGTCAGATATGTTGTTTGAACTGTAATATTCTTGGTGGTATAGCTGAATTATACCAACCAAATTTTCAACTTCTCTTGGAATAGCATTTTATCGGTTGATACTTTATTTTGATATCAAGGACATATTTACAAACTCAGTAAATGGCCCTCTAGAAGTTTTTGGTGTCTCATGTAAGGCACTTGTCCATTTCTTATACAGAATCTTTTTTCTTGAAGACCTTTGGGAGAGATTTCTTTCTAGTTTTCAGATGAAAAACAGCTGAGCTCACTGAACTGAGCTACGATTATCTTCCATTTGACCTGCTTAGACATCTTAGTGCCAAACTTGTGGTGCACCCATAATGTGCCTGACTTAATGATCAATCTGTTTTTTCTTTTTTTTTTAGGTTTCATCCTCTATTGATGTATTTTATATCTACAAGCTGTCTTAAATTCTTTTTAAAACTAGTCAGGATATAAATAAACGAATATATGACTAAAATGTAGGCAGGTGCTTTACAGGAACCACTCCTGAATTTGCAGATATGCAGAGAGCTCTGAAATATGATTTCCTGCTGCTTAGCTATCAATCCCCTAAACTGAAGTGAACTGGAACACTAAATCATTAGCTTGACTGTTATACTACTGCCAACAGATCCCAATGGCCAGGCCCAGACATTGCATTATAAAGAGTATGATTTGGTCCTACTAATACAGATTCCACTCTGATGTCTCCTTGCTTTAACTTAGGAAGTAATTGAATGCAAAGGATGTAAAAAGAGAGTTGTGAGAAATTAAGGTCCTTCAAAAATTACTTCAGAAGCTGTGTCAGCTCAATTTAGATAAAAGTATGCTGGTACAAACTCACAGAATGTGGTCCATCAGCAGAGTGATGATTGTTACAAATAAAAGCACTGCATCTCTCTCACATTTTCAGAAATGTAAACTGTATTAGAAAAATTATGCTGTACAACTCTGTTGGAAATATGATGTAGGAATTTTTTATAATGATAAGCTATTTGAAAGAGTTCATAGCAATAGCTATGAAACCTTGATAAGTAAAACTCAGCAAAGAAAGTAAACTGTAAAATCTAAGACCCCATACAAATTCCAGCAAACAAGAAATAAGGCAATGGGAATGGAAGTATTTAAAGTATCATGTGATATAAAAGTATGGAAAAGATGGGAATCACATAGTATGCAAGTTTGGAAGTATAGGTAATTGTCTTAGGAAGCTTGAGGACTAAATTACAAGCGAGGTGAATGGTGGAATGACATAGAAATCATATAGAGAAGGAGAAAGCTAAAAAAAAAAAAGGCCAGCAAGACACTGTAAAAGAGAGGTGCCAATTATATATGCATCTCATGTACATTATGACTGGGTGAATATTGGTGCAGCCGGAAATTGGGTCAGAATAATAGCAACAAGTTGCCTGTTGTTAATGTTGTTTCTTGTGAAATCAAAAAATAAGAGATTTATTTTAAATTCATAGAAATTTTAGTTTGTTATATTTATTTTAACCTTTTGACTTTAGCCCAAACTAAGATAAAACTCTGCTGATTAAATTAGCATCATGAGGCTAATCAGTTTAGATCTGTATTAATTTCAGTAAATGCCTGTATTAGTTTCTTATGGCACTGTAAAAAATTATCACACATTTAGAGGCTGTAAATAACATAAATTTATTTTATTATACTTCTGGAGATCTGATGTTTGAATCTATTTCATTGGTTGAAATCAAAATGTTGGTTGGACCACACTCCCTCTGAAGGCTCTATAGGATAATTTGTTCCTTGCTTCTTTCAGCTTCTGGGGCTGCCAGCAGTTTTTGGCTCGTGGGTGTGTATAACTCCAATCCTCAAAGCCACAATATTTAAATGTCTGCCTCTTTATCTTCACATCACCTTTTCATTTGTGTATATAAAAATCTCTGTCTCCCTCTTATAAGGATATATGCAATAGTTGTTAGAACATACCAGGTAAATCAAGGATAATCTCCTTATCTCAGGATCTTTAATTTAATCATAACTGCAAAGTCCCCTTTTCCAAATAAGGTAACATTTACTTTTCCAGGTACAAGAGAGTAGTAATAATTGGGAGCCATTATCTAGCTTACTGTAGTGCCAAATTTAAACATAAGATGGTGTTCTGGCCTAAAATAAAGACTTTGGGTTAGGCAAGGTGGCTCACGCCTGTAATTCCAGCACTTTGGGAGGCCGAGGCAGGTGGATTACCTGAGATCAGGAGTTTGGGACAAGCCTGGCCAACATAG
Source organism: Homo sapiens (assembly GCF_000001405.40). Lineage (NCBI taxonomy): Eukaryota > Metazoa > Chordata > Mammalia > Primates > Hominidae > Homo > Homo sapiens. The sequence continues at coordinate 89,653,374 of NC_000007.14, read as the reverse complement.
TGAAACTCCATCTCTACTAAAAATACAAAAATTAGCCAGGTATTTTGGCAGGCACCTGTAGTCCCAGCTACTGGGGAGGCTGAGGAGAATCACTTGAACCCAAGAAGCAGAGATTGCAGTGAGCCGAGATCAGGCCACTGCACTCCAGCTTGAGTGACAGAGCGAGACTCCACCTCAAAAAAAAAAAAAAAAAAAGGGCTTTGATACAAATTTGCAAATTTGCTCTGTCTTAACCTCTCCAGGCCTCAGTTTATTCATCCTTCATCCTTCACGTGGATATGATGTTCCTTGTATTACCATGTCATTGTGAGAATTAGATAAGCAAGTGTGTAAAAGTGTTTGCTAAGTGATAAAGCACTGTGTAATATAAGGCAACATTAGAACAAATTCTAGAATTATATAATAATAAAACATTGACAATATTTTACTGTAATTAATAATGGCAAATACTAGAGTAATATTATAATAATATGATTTGAGGGAATCTGGAAAGACTTATAAGGACAAAATATCTCCCCTTTTGTCCTCTGTTTCCTTATTTTTATAGTGTGAATAATAGTAGCACCAACATTTAAATATTGTTTTCATCCAATTAAATAGATTAATGCATATAAAATACTTAGAAGGTGTGAGGCACATAGTAGAGTTAGGAATAACAGTAATAAAGTAACTAAATAATGAACTAAGAGCTCCAAGTAATTGATTTGGAATTTGGGAAAAGGATGTACACAGAAATGAGAAGAAGACTCTAGAAGAGGTGAAATGAGGTTGTCAAATAAATATTTTGATGATAACTCTCAAGTTGGAAAACACTGTTTTGGATAAGACCTGCATTCAAAATGTTTTATTTATTTGTTTATTGTTATTTAAAATGTGCACCTTTTGTTTTTAGCATCCAGTATTTGTATTAGTTAATTGTATAATGATAAAAATAGAGCTCTGAGGAGTGCCATAAGCAGAACTCATAGAATACTTCTAGGGTTCTATGTAGTTCATAAAATAGGCTGGAAACATTAGGATAGAGGAAATATTAGGATTTCTGACCCCCCTGTTTGACCACCATATGACGTTTTATGCAGGGTGAAAATTGAAACATATGGAACAAATACACATACAAAAATATTAGAGGACTATTAAAGGAGTTTTATAAAAAAAGGCGTATGGGAGTCCAAATCTGGTAGAAGGGCCAGAAGAGACGTCACAGAGTAAATTATATTTGAGCTGAGTCTAGAAAGATGAACAGAAATATACTTCTTAGGCAAAAAAAATGGAGAAATATATTTCAGGCTGAATAAGCCAAATACAGGAGTATGAAAGATCATAGTAGATCTAGTTCATCACAGTAGGTTCAACTATGATGAACTGTTAAAAGTAGAGTTTAAGCCTGGAGCAGTGGCTCATGCCTTTAATCTCAGCACTTTGGGAGGCCGAGGAAGCTGGATCACTTGAGGTCAGGAGTTCGAGACCAGCCTGGCCAACATCGTGAAACCTCCTCTCTACTAAAAATACAAAAATTAGCCAGGTGTGGTGGTGCACGACTGTAGTCCCAGCTACTTGGGAGGCTGAGGCAGGAGAATTGCTTGAGCCCAGGAGATGGAAGTTGCAGTGAGCCAAGATTGTGCCACTGCACTCCAGCCTGGGTGACAGAGTGAGACTCGGTCTCGAAAATATAAAATAAAATTAAAATAAAAATAAAAAAATACAAAAATAGAGTTTAGTGAGCATTTGTTGTATTCTGAGAGATGACTTTGAAAAGATAGAAACCATGTTATCAAGGAGTTTTCTCTTTATGTTGGGTGGCATGGAAGAATTTTATACCAAAAATTGTATGGTACATTTTCAGTTTAGAAAATATAGCCTGGAATTTGAATACACAGAATGAGATGATATCCTGAAACCATAAATATTTTAAAAGTCTCTTTATTTCCCACTAAAAGTATGAATGCATTTACTAAGGGTGAAGCCGTTCTATAACACCAATAAATAGAGAGGTATTCCATTCATTTACATGACACTTCCAAGCTTATTGTCAATAAATGTTACAGATGAGAGAATACATACTATGAAAGGGAGCCCCAGCAGAATGGGTAAACAAATTCCTCAATTTTTCCCATCTCAATTTCTCTAGAATCCCTATAACATCTCCTAATTCAGAGTGAACTGTGAATAAAAGGATGGACTTTGGAGCAGTGGCAGGGGTTTGCGGAGATGAATGGCAGGGTTTTAGCTAAGTTCTAGAACCTTCAAAGTAAAGAATCCCATAGAGGTCATATAGACTTTGCACAGAGGTATCCAGGAGACTGTGAAAATTGCTGAAAATAACTAAGACACATTGCAACATTGGCTTTTGACTCACAAAAATAAATTTCTCTGAAATTGCACCTGTATTTCTTTGCCTAAACCCCTATCTATCTACTATGGCATTCACACTAGATCTTGAAATCTCAAAACATCAAAAGAAAATAAGTTTGAATCTTTTTATATTTATATTTTGTTTTTACTGTTTGTGTTGCTTTCATATTTTATTCTCTATTTTTTTGAGACTGACAAAATTGACATGTGAAAACAACTACTGACAGACCCAGAGATTACCACTATTAAATGAGTTACAATGGATAGGAATTTACCCTGAAACTCAATAGTGTGGTCATTAGAGGACTCAAATCAAATAACTTTAAACAAGAAGGCTTACAAATATTCTATTAAATAATGAGAGTAGTATTTAAATAATGTAAAATAAGATCAGAATGTTCCAAATACTAAGAAAACCAGATTTTGGGGAAATGAAAACAATGATTACTAAATTTAAAAATACATATCATATAAAATCTAGTCTATAGTGATAGTAGATTAACTATTGTATTAAATTTGATTATTTAGAAGATAACTTTGAAATCAAAACAGCATGGTGTTGGCATAAAACAGAAGTAGAGGCCAATGGACTAGAATAGAAGGCCCAAAAAGTAATTCATTCATTCATAGTCAGTTGATTTCTGACAAAGATGCTGCAAACACACAATGGGGAAAGGACAGTCTCTTCAATAAATGGTGCTGGGAAAACTGTACGTGAAAAGAATAAAATTAGACTTCCATCTCATAACTATATACAAAAATAAACTCAAAATGTAAAGCTTAGATATTAAGACCTGAACCTGTGAGACTACTGTAAGAAAACATAGAGGAAAAGCTCCATGACATTGGTTTGGGCAATAATTTTTTGGATTTAAACCCAAAAGCACAGGCAACAAAAGCAAAGATAGACAAATGGGATTACATCAATATAAAAAGCTTCTGCACAGCAAAGGAAACAACAGAATAAAGAGACAATCTATGTACAGGAGAATAAATTTGCAAACCACACATCTAATAATGGGTTAAGTCTAAAATATACAAGGAACTCAAACAACTCAATCGTAAGAAAACAACTCAATTAAAAATGGGCAAAGGACTTGAGTGGACATTTCTCTAAAGAAGATATACAAATGGACAACAGGTATATGAAAAAATGCTTATAATCATTAATCATCAGAGAAATGCAAATTAAAATCACAATGAGATATTACCTCATACCAGTCAGGATAGCTATTACCAAAAAGAGAAAATGTAAATGTTGGAAAGGATATGAGGAAAAGGAAACTCTTATACTATTGGTGGAAATGTAAATCAGCACAGCTCTTATGAAAAACAATTTGGAGGTTCCTCAAAAAATTAAAAATAAAGGACTGTATGGTCCAGTAATCCAACTACTGAGTATATATCTAAAGGATATGACAAGAGTATGTTAAAGAGGTAACTGCACTCCCTTGTTTGTTGCAGCATTTTTCACAATAGCCATGCTATGGAATTAACCTGGGTGTCCATTGACAGACAAATGGAAAAAGGAAATGTGATGTATATCCACAACAGAATACTATTCAGCCTTTTAAAAACAGGAAAGGAAATCCTGCCAGTTACAAGAACATTGATGAATCTGAAGAACATTATATTACGTGAAATAACCCCAACACAGAAAGACAGCTTCGTCTTAGTTATGTGTGGAATCTAAAACAATCTAATTAATAGAAACAAAGAGCAAAATGGTGGTTACCAGATGCTGGGGAATGGGAGGATCAGGGAGATGTCAGTCAAAGAACACAAAATTTCAGTTAGATGGAAGGAATAAAATCAAGAGATCTATTGTACCTCACAGTGCCTATAGTTAATGACAATAAGTTAAAAATTCCTAAGAGAATAGATTTAGAGGGTTTCCCTGACCAAAAAAATGATATATATGTGAGTTAATGAATATGTTAAATAGCTTGATTTAGCCATTCCACAGTGTATACATATATCATGACATGATGTTGTATACTTTAAATATATTTGATTTTTATTTGTCAATTTAAAAATAAATTTTAAAAGATGACCTTGAAATATGTTCATGGAATTTAGAATTATAAAGGGTTTGGGATTATAAAAGAAGACTATAAAATTGATTTATGTAAACCCAGAATTGACTTATTTCCAGAAGCAATATTTTTACGTATTAACAATGCTGAAAGTGACATGTGCCTAACAATCGATACCATATGATAATTACTACTGCTTTATTCGTTTTACATTTGAATATCTCTTAAATTGAGTTGAATCTCACAGTTGATGACATCATAGATTTTTCTGAAAATGAGAAAGAAGTTTTGGAAGTGTCAGCAATATTCAAAACAGGAGAGTGAGGAGAAGCAATGATAAAAAAAAAAAAGTATCAAAATTTTTCTATTTGAAAAAAGCCAGACATTTCAAACTCTCAGACTCTTTGAAGTAGAAAATATAAAAGACAAAAAGACTCACATTTGGATATGTTTTGGCAAATTTAAAAAATTTCAGTGATTAAGAGAAATCACATAAGTATCCAAAGAGAAAATGAAACACACAAAAAAGGCAGGAATCAGATTTTCATCAGAGATTTTATCTCCTCTCCTTTCCTTTTGCCAATGCTGGAAGACATTACAGAGTATGACTTTGTAACTGAACCTTACCAAAATCTTCCCATAGGATCTTTTTCACTCATGCTAAATTTCATTCTCTCCCTTTCCCTACATGATGTCTCATCATATGACTGGAAAGAACACTGGAATGACTGGAATGAGAATTGGAAGATTTTGTTCTGATCCTTGCTTTGTCTCAACCAATTGTTCTTCAGCCCCACCATTTTTGCCGACAAATTCTAGGAGTTAGATTTGGATTCTGGTTCCTGCTCTGTACCAACCATACTTCCCCAACTTCAAGCAGGGAATTCCATCATTTGGGACATGAGGTTTTTATACGTTAACTGATTTAAATTAATTGATACATAATGATGGTTTCTAGCTGTAGTACTCTTTGATAATGAGTTGGTCCAAAATATGTTTTAAAATCCTTACAGAGTTTCAGGAGTAATTTTTTATTTTGGAAGCCGGGACCAGAATGCCACAGACATGTGGGGTTTTTTTTTTTTTTTTTTTGAATTTTTAATGTTAGTGGCAATTTTATACAAAAGTCCATCCCTGTAACTTTCTAATTCATTCCAGACTGGCTAGAAGGAATGGAAGCACTTACCATGCTTACCCAGAGTTTTGGTATTATTGGCATAATTTTAACTTGAATAGAATTTTTTGAAGTAATTACCACCTCCAATTTTAAGACTCATGACTGCTAGACCAATTAATTAGCAATTTTCTGATTAGTAATGTTCTAAGTCAGTCAACAGAAGAATAAAGAATACTTTAAAAGGAAAGCTGAGCAATAAATAATATTTTAAGCAAAGATATTTTTATGTATTTCAAGAAGATATTTGAAGTCTGCCTATCATGAAGTTTTGGTACAGGATTCAGTACCACTTAGGAAATAAGGAATTTCATATCAACCAGTGTCTTTAAAAAGAACAAGTTCCTTTCAATAACTTTCATGTCTCTTGAAAAATAACAGCCTTTAAAAATATTTCTAATCTATCTTGATATATTACAGAGTATGATGCCTTTCTTCAAGACAAGTATATTTAACAATGTATCAGTGTCAACCCTAGTGACATATAACAATCAAGTTTGGAATGTAACAATCTTTCCTCAGTGAAAAAATGGTAGATTAAAGGCTATAATCATTAAATTCACAGATTATTTCAAAGTAGGTAGGGTAAATACTTTAGAAAGTAGGAGCCAATTACATAGTGATGATTAATTGAAGAGATGGTCAGGGCCAAGCAGAATGAAGCTCATTAAAGTTTAGTGCACTCCAGACATATGCAATTGAAGAACTTGTGGTTAAGTATGATAATAACATTTCAGCTTGTGCAGTATACATGACATATATGCCACTTGGATTAGGAGACAATAATATAAAAGGCGATGCAGTCATTGCAGTGTGCCTCACTCTGATGCTATGAAAGATGGTGTGGAGAAGGATTCTTTTAGAAACATTGTTTTTGAGTCCTTAAAATGACCTAAGAGTTCATTTTTTCCAATTCCTTAAGCATTTTTGACTATAATTTCAAGAAAGACACAAGGTAAGAATAATTTCATTTCTAAAACAGACCGAGAATGTGAATTTTCCCTCAAGTGGTTTTGGATTCACAAATGTAAAAACAAGAATACATAATAGGTAGCCTAATTGTATCAAAAGCCACAACTGGTGCTCAGAGAATTCTTTATGCATCAAACTGTTAGCAACAAAGTCATAATTTTCATTCTGAGTGGCAGTCATGATACTTTCGCCATTTTAATTATAGAAAAAAGTGAAATGTATGATATTATATATGTGTTAGATATAATAAAGTTTTATCAGGTTGTAGAACAATGTTATTTATTTATACCCCTATATATCCAAATAAGAGTTTTCATATTAAATATTAGTAATAATATTTATGCATATGAAATGAAATTTTAATGAGAAATCCATAAATAATTAAGACACTAATGTAAATTGTTTATTGATTTTCAGTGCCCTTCAAAAAATAATAAAATACTTAAAATTTATAATATAAAGTATATAATGAGAATGTAATCCAGGAGTACTTTATACATTTTAAGCAGTCATTAAGTTTACTTACTATTACAATGCTATACAACGTGAAAAAATGAAAGCACAATTCATAAAATCAGGTCCTCCACGAAGGGAAATAGTTTTCATAGGAGGGGTTTGAAGACCAATACACAAAATGTAGACACATATTAAAAACAGCAATGCTGCAGAGCTCAGGAAAAGACCTGCTAACCTGATAAAATACAATAATCAAACTCAGTTGGATTAGTAATGGTCTTTTACAATGAAAATTGCTGATATCCTAATGTTATAGACCATATTGAATTGAGACCAATATAAAACTTAAGTGCAATTATACACAACTTCAAATGATAATAGAAGATCAAGGGCTGTTGGTTTATTTTAGGACAATTTATTCTCGGTTTCTTGAAGCCATTGTTAAAGTTGCAATTCTATAGATAATTTTCAAACATCCTCTAACTATAGAGTACAGTAAACCATCCTTTCTTATTTTGAATTTCATACTCTAAGTTTTTATAGTAAATGTGTATAGGTGATTGTTCTGTTGTACCTCTGCCTTATTCTCAGCTCTGGGGATTTTTGTACGACACATAATAAAGCTCTATTACTATTCAAAGAATGAATTAGCTGATTCAACAAGCATTGATCATTGTTGTATACAGTAATAGCATTTGGCTTTGAGATTTAACTGCATTCAATTTTAGAATGTCACAGCTTTATAAAACTGGCACTCAGGGTTCAGGGATTTCACAGTGTACTGGAAAAGTCAGACATGAAAACAAAATAATAGCAATATGGTGTGATGATTAAAGTTTGTACAAAGTTCTAAGCCAGTGTGGAATGCCCAACTTTTGTCTTGGTAGGTTGAAGAAGACTTCCTAGGGTGGCTATTTTTGAATTTATGTATTTCAAATGAAAAAAAGTTTCAGTTTATGATGAATTTGTGTTTTATTTGAGAACTTAGAGTGCTAAATTAAGCCTGATCATTACCTATTTATCCAAAATTTCATTTATTTTTTCATGTTTCAAATATTTTTGACTATATATGCATAGGCGCTTGAGATATAATGACAAATAAGACTACTGCCCTGGAAGCTAGATACACGCAGTTCCCACTTTACCATATTTCCACCTAAAAATGTTTTGAATTTACAATGATGTGACACTGGTATGCATTCAGTAGAAACTGTACTCCAAGTACGCATATAACCATTCTGTTTTTCATTTTCAGGACAGTATTCAATAAATTACATGAGATAATCAACACTGTATCATAAAATAGCTTTGTGTTAGATGATTTTGCCCAACTGTAAGCTAATGTAAGTGTTCTCAGCATGTTCAAGGTAGGCTAAGCTAAGCTGTGATATTTGGTAGGTTGGGTGTATTAAATGTGTTATTATCTTACAGTATTTTCAACCTATAATGAGTTTATTGGGATGTAACCTCATTGTAAGCCGAGGAGAATCTACATAAAGAAATATGCTTTCCTTATTTTCTATGAAACATCTAAAGCAGAAGGCAGATGCATAAGTTAATATTGTAAGAAACTGTGATATATGTCACTATAGACTTATACACAAATTCCCAAGGGGCAGTTAACTTAGATTAACTGCGAATGAAGTGGCATACAACAATTTCAAAAGGGTCCTCAGATGAGATAACACCTGAATTGGGTTGAGAAAGATGAGCAGGGATCAGCTGGACTATGTAGCTGGATTAGAGGTAGAGGGCACAAGACATTTTCATGAGAAGGAAACTACTTTTTAAAAAACATGAGAAAAACCAGAGTTTTCTGTTTTCATAGAGCTGTAATGTGTTAATATATTTGAATAGCAAGTTGAGTTTATATTTTCTTCTTTGGTTGCATTTATTCTGAAAGTAGCTAAACAGTGAGGACTTTTTTTCTCTCTTTTTTTTTATTATACTTTAAGTTTTAGGGTACATGTGCACATTGTGCAGGTTAGTTACATATGTATACATGTGCCATGCTGGTGCGCTGCACCCACTAACTCTTCATCTAGCATTAGGTATATCTCCCAATGCTATCCCTCCCCCTCCCCCCACCCCACCACAGTCCCCAGAGTGTGATATTCCCCTTCCTGTGTCCATGTGATCTCATTGTTCAATTCCCACCTATGAGTGAGAACAAGTAGATCAAATGTTTATGTTAAAAAGGACACTGGAAGAAGAGTGGAGAATATACTGGAGAGTAAGCAACCTGCAGGAAGTTAGAAGGCATGTGTCATTCTTTGCAAGAAAAGATAAATGCCTAAACAAGTGTAGTAGCAGTGTGGTTGGAGAAGTGGGTAAATAATTTAGAGCTACTGAAGAGAAAAAATCAACAGAATTCTTTTTGATTATTTGTTTATATTCTGCCCTGTTTTATGAAAAAGTAAGGCAGCTTATAGGGATATATAAAATGCCATGAAAATATATTCATTAGTTCATAAAATTATGTTACTGTCAAAGGAATTAATGATTAATCAATCAGCAATTAGTCCAAGGAAGAGGCAGAAAGAAAAAAAGATAGCACCTTGATTTTTTTCTGCTTGGAAAATAGACAGATGCAATTCTTCTTCACTGAAATAGGAAATAACATGGAAAAATTACCTTACTTGGAGAGAAAGTAAGTTAATTTTTGTACACACTGAATTTGAGGTACCTATGAATCATCTAGTTGGGGAAATTCAAATGACAGTTAGATATTTTTGTTTAAAATTCTGAAGGATGTTTGGAAATACATTAACAATGGTATAGTATCAAGTATTTTCCTCAAAAACTGCTACATAAAAACTATCCCAAAACTCAGTGGTTTGCAGCAACAGACACTGATTTCTTGCTCCCAGGTCTGTGGATTTGATGTGGCTCTACTGGACTAGGTTGAGCTTCTCATCAGGCTATAGTTGATCTCAGTGACATTTCATGTGCCATCTTATCCTGTGACTAGATGCTTCCCAAGAGATGTTCTCATGGTGGATGGCTAAGATGCAAGACGGGTGAGCAAAAGTACAGGATGTCTCTTGAAGCTTCGGTGTGCACTTAGCAAATTGTCTTTATGCTCATATTCCATTAACCAAAACAAATGATATGGCCAAACTTACCGTCAAAGGGACTGAAAAATGTACTTTTCCCAGAAGCAGCTATGGAATAAATATGGAGAAAAAGGAGGATTCTGACTAAAACAATGCAATCTCCCATATGTAGTGTTTGGAATAATAGGGTTGGATGGCATCTCTTAGTGAGAGTGGGTAAAGTAAAAGAAGGTGATGATGGCACCCTCAGAAACACTGCTGTTAAAATACTAACCCCAGGGATGGAAGTAAAGAAAGAATGGAATTAAATCAGGAAAGGAGAGAGTCCCTGAAGTCAAAGTAGGGAAGCTGTAATGAGTGGGATGAGGAAAACAGTATCCTATCATATACAGAACTCAAATCATGATTCAATGTGTCTTTTGCTTGTCAATTTTAAAGTCATTAAGACCAGCTTCTGAATAATGTGGGAGGCAAAGACAAACTATAATAAGTTGAGAAGTGGATGAATGTTATAAACTACCCCTTTGAAAAACTTGTCAGTGAAGGAAAAGACGTATGGAAGTCTGAAGTTGGTAGACTACCTATGTTTGACAAAGTGATATTTCTCAAAAAAACTCTTATGAAGTCAGACCAGCTTAAAAATAATTTCTTACTTGAAAATTATAATAAAACCCTGTACTCTTATGTCTATACCTTGAAGTGCATTTAAAATAGTCAGTTATATAGAATCAGACTAATTTATTTCTGTAATTGTAAAATTTAGTCAACAAAATTATTGTTCCTGTATGCAAAGCATTTTGGGGATGTAGGTGTGCAACTAATTATATAATCTAGTTTCCAAATTCAAGGAAATTCCCAGATGAAGAACTCATGTATTTAGAGTTATGCTCGCAAAACTTGTGTTTGTCTATCAATTCACCCGAGAAATTCTTCAAATATATTTACATATATCACGTGATTTACTCCAAATACTAGTTTTTCTTATTTATTTCAAGGAATGAAAATTTGATTGAATGGGCCAACTTTGAGGACTTTCATTCCTATGAATTTTGAGGATTTTCATTCCTTTGAATTACACATGTGATGTTAGTGACTTTAAAATGTAGAATCATTTACAAAAATTGCTGCTGTATGTGGTGGGAAGGAAAACCATCAAGATAAGCAGGAAAATGCATGAAAAAGGAGAAAGAAGGAAAAATTTTCTATCTCAAATGAGATTTAAAAGGATGAGGCTTGAAAATAATTATATGTGCACATGGTTAAATGTCAAGGCATTTGGGACCATTCCTTACGCTGGAAAGAACAACATGTGATGGCATTTACAAAAAATTACTGAATTTTTAAATCTCTTGCACTCCCACTCAGCATTCTTCAGGAGCATCTAAACAGCCTCATTTTTTTCTGAATCTCTGATACCCTAGTTTATACCATGTTACCTGCAATCTTCCATTCATCAGATTCTTACACAGTGACAGAGAGAGTTTAAATCTTCTTACAGTAGCATTAGCTTAGTCTCTACCATTTTTTCTTCTTTGACAATGAGCTTTAGACTGTCAGCAAATACATTTTAATTGTGATTTTTAGTGCTATTTTAAAAATAATTTATCTACTAGTTGAGAAAGGAATAAAAGCTCTTATTCAATTCTCCCCTTCTTGGTATGCCCATTGCATCTTTATATAGATACCTATTTAACACATATTAAACTGCATTTATTTTCATGTTTTTTCCCCACTCTGGGAAATGATCAGGTTATTGAGCCATAAGCCTCATGTAGTTACATAGTTTACTAGGTTTTTAATCATTTTAAAATAAATGGAAAAATAATAAATGAATAAATGTAATTATACTAGTGAAGAAACAATGGTAGGATCAACGTAATTTTTCTTTCTTTTCTCTGTCTTTTTGTATCATAGAAACTCATGTTAATAGAGAATGTTGGATTAAAACTATATGATGATTTTCTCATGCCAGATGAAATAGTAAAAAAAAAAAAAGTTGGTATAGTTTACAGAAACATTAATCTACGAAAGTTTTGTAAGCTAAATGGAATTGGATTTTATTGCATATTAATTATTGTATTGTTACTGTATTAGAATTTCAAAGTAAAATTGATACTTGTTCTTTTGTACTTTATTGTAGCTAGGAGAAAGGGCCTCTTAATGCGGTGAATATCAAAAAGGGAAAGAGAAGGTGTCCACAGAAAACATAATTACTATAAATCTTAGAAAAAGGTAGCAGCATGGAGCTGCCCAAAGTTGATAGAGTGGTACCATATAGGTCCAAACCCAAAACTGATTTTTGTTTTATGAAGTAGAAATGGTTGCATGGGCTCTTGGCTAGAACCATCTTTGGCCCATTGAAAATCAAGTTTCTGAGACTGAAAAGGAAACACACAGTGACACCATTTTGATGAGGAAGAGAAGATTCTGAAGGAGCCAGAATATATTTGCTGAATTTTGACACTGAAGAAGAAATAAACATTGAAAAAACAAAGCAAAACAACAGCAACAACAAAAAACTAAACCCATTTAGGTTTCCACTACAGATGCAAGAAAAAAGTGCCCTTGCACGTTTTTTCTGTCTGAGTGTGTCAGCCAAGGTTGCATGGGGGAATTCAGGATGTATAAAAACATAGACAGAGAGAAGAAGATAATTTTGCACCTCAGAAATAACCTTGTGAACAGCGAGTAGCCTGTTTTATTCTGAAAAAGGAATCTAAAATTTGAATTAAATATAGTCATTTCATAAACCATCTCATAAGGAATTTATGTTAACCAGAAAGAATCCTTGCTAGCCTGAATTAATGCCTTATCCTACTTGACATTAATTTTCTGAAATTAACTAGGTGAGGAAGAACTTTATTAACAAGATGAATTACAAAAAAAGGAACCTACGAAGGAGAAAAGGGATAATAGAAACAACAAATTAAGAACATTCATTAAAAAAACAGTTTTCATAAATCAAATAGAAATAGTGACCATTTTTCTATGGATTAGCAAAAAAAAAAAAATCTCATCCTTAGAATAAGAGTTCAAAGGATTTTCAGGGGAAAACTCCTGTGCCAATTAAAGACAAGTGAGAGATTAATGGAGAAACAGTGGAAAAAGGGCATGGTATAGATGAACATTCAACCTATTCAACTGAAGGGCCAAGCAATTATGGTTTCAGAACAGAAAATGAAAAAAAAAATATTTTAAAAAGTAAAAACAATAACACCATCACCCTTTGTGAAGAGAACTGGCCAAAAAAACTCTAGATTTCCTATTTAGAGATGATGTTAGTATGCAGATTGCTTTACCCTTTAAAATTATGGATTACATCATATTAATATAAACTTGATGAAATCAGAACAGGATATGTGTATTTAAATGTGTAAGGGGAGATACTAGAAGTACTAAAATAACACGGTAAGATTGGAGGGGAGAAAGTGGAAGTACATATGAAAGTTATCACAAGAAAGCTCCTATGCCAGTGATTTGCCTGGTTGCTTTTATATCTGCTTTTTATGCTTGTCCTGCCCTGCTCTCTATCACAGAAATTGACCCCTTCAAACATTGTTTTCCTCTGGCTACTTCCATTACCAAATATCCTCTGGCTACTTCCATTACCAAGAGCTCAACTTGCCAATACCAGATTCCAAAACTGAGCCCACAATATGTCTTTGTTCAAAGAGAGGGGAAAGGCAACCAGCTACCCTGTGGAAGATTGGTTACTTTGTACTTCTTTCTCCTTTGAGGTGAGGGATTTTCCCTCATGGGTTGAATATACACCTGTTCTCTGCAGGTATTTTACAGGTCTTTCCATCCTGCAATGCTGCCATCACTACTCTACTGGACTTACAGAATGCATTAGAAGCTGTCAGTATCCCATATCCTCCTGTTATGTAAATCATTGGTGTTATTACAGGTCTCACATCTAGAAGTATCTGTCTTATCAAAATTCAGACTATCTTACTGAAACCAGAGTTACAGTGTGGGCTAGGACAACATCCTGTGCAGTTGGGTGGTGCCCTGCAAGAATTATATAAACTTTGAGATATTGACCAATATAAAGCCACTACCCTGGCCACAATTCACATATACAGGAATATAGGGGTGGAAGTAGAAATAATCTCCTTTAGGGTTACTTAATTATCTGAATCATTTTTCTCTTTTGTCCTGATAACTCTGCTCATTGCTTCTTTAAGAATCTTGATTTTCAAAGGAGAATGCTTACAGTAAGGAACATATCAATGGTTTCATTGAATTTGGACATTGAAAATGCCATCTGAACTATGTTTTGAACCTCAAGAAATTCAGTGGAGTTCCTCTCAGTGCTTACATGCTGAATGGTTTGATGATGAACATCAACAATTGAGTAAAGGCAGGGCAATTAAGAAGCAGAAACTTCAGGAAGGTGTCACAGAAGGACTCCTATTAATAGAGAAAGTTATTTAAAAAGATAAAAGACATTAAGAATAAGTCTAACAGCAAATTGACAAGCTTCCTATGAAAAACTCTTTGAAATATTCTTAAAAGACACAAAAAATGACTAGAACAAATAAAACAAATACTTTTAAACTCATTATTATAATAAGGAATAGTCTGTAGATTAATATATAAATTTTCAAAATCCCAACATGTCAATAAAATTAACTATACACTCTCTGAAGAACCAGAGAAGCTAATTACAAAGCTTGTAATAAGAATAGTCAGAATATTGAGGGGAGTGGTAGGGGATATAATTAATATCTATTCAAAACAGTCATTAAAATGTAAAGTAGGCCGGGCGCGGTGGCTCACGCCTGCAATCCCAGCACTTTAGGAGGCCGAGGTGGGGAGATCACGAGGTCAGGAGATCAAGACCATCCTGGCTAACACAGTGAAACCCCATCTCTACTAAAAATATGAAAAATTAGCCAGGTGTGGTAGCATGTGCCTGTAGTCCCAGCTACTTGGGAGGCTGAGGCAGGAGAATGACAGGAACCCAGCGGGCGGAACTTACGGTGAGCTGAGACTGCACCATTGCACTCCAGCATGGGCAACAGAGCAAGACTCTGTGTAAAAATAAATAAATAAATAATAAATAAATAAATGAAGTAAGGGCAGAGTAATGAAAACA
The DNA here is from genome assembly GCF_000001405.40 of Homo sapiens. Taxonomy (NCBI): domain Eukaryota; kingdom Metazoa; phylum Chordata; class Mammalia; order Primates; family Hominidae; genus Homo; species Homo sapiens. Next base: position 89,638,227 of record NC_000007.14, on the reverse strand, counting down.
TGTTAATAGTACACAAATAGAAAGTAATAATTAATAAAAGTTTGTAATGACACAGAAATAAGTTCATATACTTATAGAAATTTAGTAAATGATGGAGATGTTGGATTTTAGTGGAGTGATGTAGGTCTATTCAAATTAATTAAATAAATTTACCAAAAACCTAGAATTAAATCATTGACCAGGCACAGTGACTCACATCTGTAATCCTAGCACTTTGGGTGGCTGAGGTGGGTGGATCAATTGAGACCAGGAGTTAGAGATCAGCCTGGGAAACATGGCAAAACTCATCTCTACAAAAAGTACAAAAATACTAGCCAGAGTGGTGGTGCATGCTTGTAGTCCCAGCTACTCGTGGGGCTGAGGCAGGAGGATCACTTGAACTTGGTAGGCCAAGGCTGTAGGGACCTGAGATTATACCACTGCACTCCAGCCTGAGCAACAGAGGGAGACTCTGTCTCAAAAAAAGAAAAGAAAACAAAACAAAACAGAAAACCTAGAGTTAAATCACACTTAATAAAGACTAAATACATTTCTCTCAAAATCAGGAAAAATATATGGTTGTTACTTCTTTATTCAACTTTGTATTTGTGGTCATGGCCAATGCAATATGACATGAAAGGAAATAATATATATATAAGAAAGTAGTAAACAATATTTATTTATAGACTACATGAGCATGTACACAGTTAACCTGAAAGAATCCACAGATATCTGTAAGAACTAAGTTTGTTTACCAACTGTTTCTATATGCTATCAATATACAACTAGAAAATGCAAAATTTAAAATACCAAATGTAATAGCCTCAAAATACATGAAACTCTTAAAGATAAATATAAGAAAGTAAACACAAGATCTGTTTGAGGAAAACTACAAAATACAGATGAGATAAATTAAAGAATATCTAAATAAATCAATAAACACATCATGCTTATAGATTTATGATCTCAATATTGTTAAGATATCTACTTTTCTCAGATTGATTTATAGATTCAATGTAATTTCATTGAATCTGTATAAGGTCTTTTTTTGTGGAAACTGACTAACTCTGAAATGTATATTTTAAAATATAATAGATTACCAGAACAATTTTGAAAAAGAAAAATAATAGGAAGACTTAAACTATCTGACTTCCAGATAGCTGACTGGACACATCAGGTACTTGCCTCTTCCACAAAGAAGAAACAAAATAGCAGGTAGATAACCACACTTTGAATAGATCTTCTAAGATGGAATACTGGAATTCAACAGAGAAGTGACAAGAAACACCTAAATCAAGGAAGGGGAGGGAAGTGAGGCAGCCTGCTCAGCTAGGGTCACCTGGGAGCCTGGAGAGACTATCCAGTTTGGAAAAAGAATAAGTGAGAGATCCCCAGTAGTACACATTCCCATTAGGGACTCCTTCAATCCTAGCCATGGGAGGGTCCTTTGACCCTTACAGGACCTAAGACCATCACTGGAAACTGCCCGGAGACTGTGAGAAGGTACTGCTTTAGAGAGTGAGCTTATTCTGGATCCAACACACCCCCAGAGTCCTAAGCAGCTACAACAAGGTGCCATTTTGAAAGCCAAGCCTTGGAGGTCTAGACTGCATCCTGCCTTGGAGGTCCCAAAGTCCCTACATCCTCACATTCCTGCAGCCCCATTACCTTTCCCCACTCACAACAGTCTTCGATGCGGCAGCTGCTGCCAAAGCTGAGTCAGGAGTTGCTGGCAGTGACATCTTCCAGAAGAGTGGCCATGATAAAAGTCTATTGCACCCACAGCCTCCACCACTGCTGGTTGTTACTGCTGGTGGAGTCAGAGCCAGGACCAAAGAGCGAGCCACTAGCATCAGCACTGCTCCCACAGCAAAGGGATAATGGGGCATTTTTTTGTGTACCTCAAGGGTAAATTTCACTGCTCATAGCTGCTGCTGTGCTGGGTTGTAGCCTCTGGGGCTAAAGCATTAGCAAAGTTTGTGTCCCTAGCTTCCTGCCTATGGAGGCTTCCACTGAAAGCTACTTCACCTCCTCCAGTAACATGGTCACAGTACAGCCACTGTGGCCCCCCATCTGACATACCACCAGAGACCTGGTTATCACCTGGCCCATTGACTACCACAGCCAGCCTTGCTTGACATGCACCACCAGGGTCCCTGAGGACAGGTCTGCCCAATTAAGCTCCACCCTACCACAGTGAAAAACAAAAAGAAAGAAAGAAAGGAACAAAGGATATTCAACACAACCAGAAATCAATAAATAAAATGACAGGAATAAGCCTTCACATATCAATAATAACCTTCAATGTAAATGGATTAAAGTTTCCACTTAGAAGATAGAGACTGGCTGAATAGATTTTAAAAATGACCTAATTACATCCTGCATACAAGAAACTCATGAGGAATTCAAAGAATTTTTTGAAACAAATAAGAATCAAACACAACGTATCAAAACTTTCAGGATACGGCAAAAGCATTGCAAAAAAGAAGCTTACAAAAATGAATGCCTACATTTAGAAAGTAGAAATTTTTAAATAAACAATTTAATTATGTACCTCAGTGAACTAGAAAAGCAAGAACAAACTAAATTCAAAATTAGTAGAAGGAAAGAAATAATAAACATCAGAGCAGGACAAAATGAAATAGAAACTAAAAACAAGATACAAAAGATCAACAAAATGAAAAGTGGGTTTTTTTTTTAAAGATAAACAAAAATGCTTGCTAGACTAATCAGGCAAAAAGAGAGAAGACCCAAATAAGTAAAATCAGAAAGGAAAAAGGAAACAGTACAACTGACACTACAAAAATACAAAAGATCTTCCAAGACTATTATGAAAAAACTATACAGTAACAAAATGAAAACCTAGAGGTAATGGATACATTCCTGGACAAATACAAACTACCAAGATTGAAAGGAGAAAATAGAAAATATGTACAGACCAATAATGAATATTGAGGTTGAATCAGTAATAAAAACTCTCCCAATAGAGAAAATTTCAGGTCCATTTGGCTTCACTGCCAAATTCTACCAAATTTTCAAAGAACTAATACCAATTATTCTCAAACTATTCCAAAAAATTGAGGAGGAGGGAATTCTCCCTAATTCTATGAGGCCAGCATTACCCTGATCCTAAAACCAAAGGTGCAACAACAACAACAAAACCCAGAAATCTACAGGCCAGTATCCCTAACAAAAATAGATGCAAAAATTCTCAACAAGATACTAGCAAATCAAGTCCAACATCACATCAAAAAGATAATACACCATGATAAAGTGGAATTTATTCCAAAGATGCAACAATGATTCAACATATGCAAATCAATAAATTTGATACATCACATCAAAAGAACAAAGGACAAAACCCATACAATCATCTCAAAATATGCAGAAGAAGCATTTGGTAAAATTCAACATCCCTTCATAATAAAAACTCTCAACAAACTAGGCATAGAAAGAACATCCCTCAACATAATAAACACCATGTATGTCAAATCAGCAGTTAACATCATACTGAATTGGGAAAAGCTGAACTCTTTTCCTCCAAGAACTGGAACAAGACAAGGATGCCCACTTTCACCACTCCTATTTAGCATAGTACTGGAAGTTCCATCTAGAGCAATCAGTCAAAAGAAAGAAGTAAAAGATAGCCAAGTTGAAAAAGAAGTCAAATAGTCCATTTGGCTATTTGAAATATTATCATATATTAAAATATTATATAATATTTTGTTTGATATGGATTTCATGCAATCTCTATAAAAATATGAGCATGATTTATTACAGAAATAGAAAAATGGTTCTTTTGACATTTATTTTGTATCTAGAAAAATGTAAAGATGCCACTTAAAAACCCCTTAGATCTGATTTTAAAATTCAGTAAAACTGCGGGATACAAAATCAACATACAGTATGAGTAGCATTTCTATACACATAATAATCTTGATGAGAACACAAATGAAGAAGGCAATTCCATTTCTAATAGCAACAAAAAATAAAATATCTAGTAATAAATGTAATCAGGGCGGTGAAAGACTCCTAGAAGGAAAACTACAAAACACTGTTGAAAGAAATTGAAGAGTATACAGACAAATGGAACAACATCACATTCTCATGGATAAGAAAAATTAATATTGTTTAAGTGACCATACTGCCCAAAGAAATCGACTATGAAATATCATATAATATTTTGTTTGATATGGATTTCATGCAGTCTTTATGAATATATGATCATCATTTATTACAGAAATAGAAAAAATAATGCAAAATTTTATATAGAACCAAACGGGAGCCTGAAGAGCCAAAGCAATTCTGGGCAAAAAGCACAAAGCTGGAGACATCACACTATCTGACATCAAAATATATTACAAGGTTATATGGGCTAAAACAGAATGATATTGGCATAAAAGCAGACACATAGACTAATGGAACTGCATAGAAAAACCAGAAATAAATACATGTACTTACAGCCAAGTGATTTTTGACAAAGTTACCAAGAACATAATTAGGGAAAGAACAAACTCTTCAATAAATGGTGCTGGAAGGACTGGATATCTATATACAGAAGAATGAAACTGGACCCATTCTCTCACTATATACAAAAATCAACACAGGTTGGAGGAAAGACTTAAATGCAAGACCCCAAAATAAAACTACTAGAAGAAAACATAGGGAAAACACTCCAGGACATTGGTCTAGGCAATGATTTTATGGCTAAGACCTCAAAAGCACAGGCATCATCAACAACAAAATTAGACACATGGGAGAATGTTAAACAAAAGTCTTCTGTGCAGCAAAGGAAATAATCAACAGAGTGAAGAGACAATCTGTTGAATGAGATAAAATATTTGTATACTATTCAGCAGACAAGGGACTAATATCTAGAATATATAAGGAACTGAACAACAGCAAAAAAAACATAGTCCCATTAAAAAGTGAGCAAAGGACATGAAAAGACATTTTTCAAAACAAAGTATACAAATGGCCAACAGGTATATAAAAAATGCTCAACATCCCTCATCATTAGGGAAATGGAAATCAAAACCACAATGAAATTTCTTCTTAAGTCAGTCAAAATGGCTGTTATCAAAAAGACAGAAAATAACAGATGCTGGTGAGAATGTGAAGAAAAGGAATGTTTTGTACACTTGGTGGAAAGGTAAGTTAGAACAGATGCTGTGGAAAATATTGTGGCGATTTCTCAAGAAACTAAAAATATAACTACTATACGATGCAGCAATCACACTATTTGGTGTTTATCCAAAGGAAAAGAAATCAGCATGTCAAAAGGATACCTGGACTCACATCTTTATTGCAGCACTATTCACAATAGCAAAGCCATGTAATCAACCTCAGTGTCCATCAATGGATAGATAATAAAGGAAATATGGTATATATACACAGTGAAATTCAATTCAGCCAGATAAAAGAATAAAATTATGTCATTTGCAGTAACATAAATGGAACTGGAAGTTATTATATTAAGTAAAATAAGCCAGGCACAGAGACAAATATCATATGTTCTCACTCATATGTGGGGGCTAAAATAGTTGATCTCATGACATAGATAGTAGAAAGATGCTAGTGGCTGGGAAGTGTGTGGGTGGATGTAACGGATGAAGAAAGGCTGGTTAATGAGTACAAATATATAGTCTGATGGAAGACCCAAGTTCCAATGTTCAACAGCAGATTAGGTTTTAGCCATAAAATTGTTGCCTAGACCAATGTCCTGGAGTGTTTTCCCTATGTTAACAACGATGTATTATAAATTTCAGAGTAGCTAGAAGTGCAGACTTGAATTGCTCCCAACCCATAGAAATGATATATACTCAAGGTGATGGATATGCCAAATACCCTGATTTGATCATTACACATTCTACACATGTAACAAAATATTACACGTACCTTATAGATATGTAAATTATTATGTATCAATTTAAAAACTATCTGAATTCAAGGCTTGTTATAAAGTTACAATAATCTAGATAGCTTATTATTTTTGAAGGATAGACATATAGATCAATGAAACTGAATAGGGTCCAGAAGTAGACCCATATTTATATGGTAAGTTTCATTTTAATAAAAATGTGAAGGTAATCCAAAGAAGCAAAATAGTGTTTTCAAAAAATGACTCTGAAATAATTAGATACCTTATGGACAAAAGTAAATGTCTTGCAATAACTCACCATGACATGAACATCATCTAAAAAGATCTTATGAACCTAAATATAAAATCTAAAACTATAGAAATATAAAATAAAACATATGAAAATAATTTTGAGAATTTGGAGATGCAAAGAATTTTTAGATTTGATAGAAAAAGCACAGATTATAAAAGAAAAATATTGATCAATCAGATGTTATTAACATTGAGAACTTAACTTTGGGTCATTAAAAAAAATGTTCGGAAAAATAACAAGGCAAACCCGACTGGGTGAAAAGTGTGCGTGTCCATATGCGCTTGCATGTATATCAGATGAAAAGCTAGCATTCATAATGTATAAATAGTTCTTAAAGTTCAATAAAGTAAAGATAACCCAATAAAAACAAATAGTGAAAGTTTTGAACAAATTCTTCATAAAACATAGTATGTTACTGGCAAAGAAGCATTTAAATCATACTCAACATCACTATTCATCAGCCATTTTAAATAAAACCATTATAAAATACCACAACACATCAACTTGAACATTTAAAAGACTGTCTGAATGTCAGACAAATGGAACTCTCATATATTGCTGACAGAAAAGTAAAGTTTCCAGCTACTTTGAAAATCAGTTTGATGCTGTGTTAGTCCATTCGCATTGCTATAAATAAATACTTGAGGCTGGGTAATTTATAAAGAAAAGAGGTTTATTTTGGCTCACAGTTATAGAGGCTTTACAAGAAGAATGGCACTAGCATCTGCTCGCCTTCTGGTGTGGGCATCAGGAAAATTCCACTCATGGCATAAGGCAAAGGGGAAGCAAGTGTGTCCCATGGCAAGAGCAGGGGGAAGAGACAGGAGGAGATTCCAGGCTCTGTTAAGGGACCAGGTATCATGTGAGCTCATACAGTGAGAACGCACTCATTACTGCAAGGATGGCATGAAGCCATTCAAAAGGGATCAGCCCCCATGACCCAAATACCTCCCACTAGGCTCCACCTGCAACATTGGGTATTACATGTCAATATGAAGGGACACACATCCAAGCCATATCAGACAATTTCTGATAAGGTTAAATACACACTTAAAATAGAGCTAGCAATCCTATTCTTAGGTATTTATGCAAAAGGATTGAAACTATACTCACACAAAGTCTTGCACATACATTTATTTATATTATCAAAATAGGAAACAACCTTAATGTCTATTAACTGATGAATGGATTAAAACATTTGTATATTCATATATAACACTCCACAGGAGTAAAAAAGAATACACTACAGATACAAGATAGATATGCACTAAAACATAGGGCCAAGTGAAATAAGCCAGAAATAGAAAAGAGTACATACTATGTATTTATTTAAAGTTTTCTTTACCTTTTTATTTTTTTTATAATTTCAAATTTTATTTTAGATTCAGGCAGTATGTGTGCAGGCTTCATACCTGGGTATATTATGTGATGCAGAGGTTTGGGATGTGAATGATTCCCTATATAGTAAGCATAGTACCCAACAGTTAGTTTTTCAAACCTTGCCTCCCTCCCCACTCTAGTATTCCCCACTGCCTATTGTTGCCATGTTTATGTCCATCAGTACACCATGTTTAGCTCCCACTTGTAAGTGACAACCTGCAGTATTTGACTTTCTCTTTCTGCATTAACTCACTTAGGATAATGTCTTATAGCTGCCTCCATATTGTTCTAAATGACATAATTTCCTTTTTGTGGCTGCATAGTGTTCCATGGTGTATATGTGCCATATTTTCTTTATCCAATCCACCATTGATGGGCACCTAGACTGATTCCATGTCTTTGCTATTATTGCAGTAGTGAACATACAAGCACATGTGTCTTTTTGGTAGAACACTTTACTTTCTTTTGGATGCATACTTAGTAATAAGATTGCTCAGTCAAATGATAATTCTGTTTTAAGTTATTTGAGAAATATCCAAACTGCTTTCAACAGTGGCTGAACTACTCCCCATCAACAGTGTATAAGCGTTCACTTTTCTCCACAGCCTCACCAGCATCTGTTATTGCTTTCTTCAACAGCACATGTACTAATAATGGCCATTCTGAATGGTGTGAGATGGTATGTTGCAGGAGGACTCATATCTAACAACCCCTCCCCTTGTATTTCCTTACAGTTTTCTTTTCAAACTTTTTAACATGTCTTGGCTTAGTAGATGTAGCTTATCCAATCTACATTTTTATTGTCACCTACCAAAATATTTACTTAAATTCTGCAGCTATTTGATTTCGGGTTTTAAATTGATCTGGTATTCCCTGTGGGACTCCAATTGTGTCTAAATAGACGTGAGAGTCGAAAGACCCATAAGGGGCTTCTCTCACTTTACGATGTCTTTTTTTCCTTCCTCTGGTTGATAAAATTCCAGGGTGAATGGGATAGCCGATTGGACTAAAGCACAAGTACCGCTCCAGTTATTCAGCAGAGTGTCCAGTAAAGGTCCACCACAATACCACCACACATCTGCTCGGGGATGAACAAGGGCTGATTGATAAGCTCTTTTAAATCCTTAAGTTCACTGCATCCCTTCAGGTCTCCAAGGAACACTAACTTTCCTCCCTGTCATGAGAGACACAAAGTGAACTTAGTGGTGGGAGATGGAAGCTGGATGGCCCTCAGGGTGCCGGACTTCAGGATATAGCAGAGAGAGATCTTGGCATGACTTATTACTCCAGGCTGTAGAATCCTGGAAAAGAGCTACCATGCAGCCCATGCCCCATCAACTGGAGGACCACCTTAGTGGAAAGGGGACAATCTGGGCCTCTGGCCTGCTATGCGCACAGCATAACAATTGCTTTTGTTTAACATGCAGACAGAATATTTGATCCATTCCAACCAGGCATTTGCATCTTGGTATCCTGTCTTAATTGCCAAAGTATGTTTTAAGTCTTTAACTTTTACAATAGCTATCTTGGTCTTGTTGTTAGATGGAGGAGGAACAATTGTTCCATTGTAAGAGGTTTTGGAAGAAGGCTTAGAGGAAGGTGCAGGTGGTGGGGGATCAAAGAAATGCACTTCAAAGAATCTAACAGGGTTTGTCCCTGAAACCTCAGTCCCCATACCATAAAACTGGCTTAAAGAAGGGAACCGGCTTAGAAAAGGGGAAGAACTTTGAAGGTTTGAGATAATAACCCATATAGAATTACACTGGTTTAGCCGACAGTTAGCGGGGAGGGCTGTCCCTCTAGTAAAATGAATGTATGGTTTTAGGAAACTACAAAAACTGGTTGGGGCAGTCCATTGTTGTTCTTTAGTGGTCCACAGAACGTTGGACTAACTATGGCATAAAAGCTCTAGATTGGGGAGCAAGACTCCTGGTTGACACTGGGGTCTTTATTGAAATCTCCCTGGATTAAATGGTCCCAATTCACTAGTGCCCAGTCTGAGGAGAGTCAGGAGGGACAGAGGTGCTTTTCTGAAGTAGAGAGCGGTCTTTGACTTGGCAGGTCCCCACAGGGTATAACAAGGCAAGCATTAAATGCAATAGTTTGAGGCAAAATTGACTTGGTTATGTTAATAACTAGTTGGTCAGCAATAGAGTGAGGAAAGAAGAAAGAGTAATAGCGTAGAAGAAAGAGAGTTAAATTTTTTTTTAGCGTTAGTTTGGTAGGGTTTTTCCCCTGGGACCATGGCCCACGACTCTGGAGGGGGCGGCGCTTTCTTGACTTGGATGTGATGAGTCCATCCCCTTTATGCTGTATGAACAGCAGTCTCAGTGGTTAGCAGCAAAAGGTAGGGTCCTTCCCAGGCTGGCTCAACTTTTCCTTCTTTCCACCCTTTGATGAGAATGATCTTCAAGCTGGTGCTGGCTTACTGGAAATTCTAGGGGTGGTACCTGTGCTGAAAGACTTTTAGTTTTGAGGGAAAGGAAAGGGGAAGATAAACCAAGTATATAATTTCTAAGAAATTGATCTTTTGTTTTAAATATGGGGACATCAGCAGTGGACTTTATAGTCTTTGGTGCCTTCTTACTGAGAAATTTCCTTTAGCACCTATTTTTATTAGTTTTTAGACCAAAGAAAGCCAAACACCACTTTATATTTAACAATGCTTCCTGTATGATTTTTATACCAGATAAGCTAAATTTCACCTTTGTATTAGTGTGTTTTTAATGTTAAACTCAATTTTAAAAAAATCTTATAGACATATTTATTTAATTTTAACATCTAACCATAAGGTAAGATTTTTTATAGACTGCTTTTAACCTTTTATAATTTTTGTTAAAGAGCAAGTTAGTGCTTTAAGAAAAATCTGTTGTGCTTTAATTTTAATGTCCAATTCACAGAAAAACTGGATGATACCTTTTTAACTTTAGCCAATATGTTTACACACAGAATTTCCTTTACAATTAACATTTTAAAACTTGCTTAAACCTTCAAAACAGAACATTTTTTAACCTTTTAATGTAGATAAAAATCCACATTATTATGCCTCCGTATAATCCTTTTACCAAAAGTATATTTTACTTTCCTTATACACCTTTCACATAAACTGTTTCTTTAATAGTTTTACATTCAGGAGGCCTAATTACTTTTAAATTATACATTTCTTGCATAAATTCCCTTTTACAATACAGTTTTATTTTTCCACGACTTTCACAGACAATTCTTCAACACGCTTCAACTTTCTGACTTGTTGCAAACATCCCTTTCTTTAAACAACCAGTTAATTTTTTAGGACAATAATTTACCATATAACATTCTTTTTACATAAATTCTCCCTTTTTTTTTTTTTCCAAAGATGATAACCATTCTTTTCCAAGGCGAACTTCCTTCATGTCTGTGGACTAGACTGCCTAAGGCCACAAGATTAGAAGTTAGGGTAATATATGTTACACTGTTAACTTGTAGCAAATTTTACTTTTGTTGAAAACCTTGTAAGTTTGGGATTTCAATTATCTTTCGTTATTAATAAGACCTTGTTTAGTCCAAATTAACTTAGAATTGGTATAGATGGTTCTTTCCTGGTTCTGTAAATACTTTAAGGCTTGACTGGGTGCAAACAGCTCAAACATTTGAGCAGACCAATTATTAGGCAATTTTCCTAACTCTGCTCTTACAAGAGTTTTCCGATCAATTACTGAATACCCATCGTGTCTTTTTCCCTCAATCACCTGGGAGGAACCATCTATCTATGGTACTGTACTGAAGGGAGTTCCTCCTAGGTCTGGTCGGAACTTTGTATGGTAATTAAGATTTAGATCCCCTGTTAGGAAACCTGCTGGGTTAAGGGAATTTTCAGTGGTTAGTGTTAAATCGTCTTTTTCTAACAGAATAGCCCGATACTTTAAGATTTTTAAGATTTTTGAGTTGGTAAGCTACCTTTTTCCTTTTTCCTTTTTTTTTTTGACTTAGGCTAGTTCTGAACTGGTGAGGTGTGCTCACAATGAGGTTTCCTCTAAAAGCTATTTTTCTACTTTCTTCTGCTAGCAAAGTAGTTGCCACTACAGATTAAATGCATGTGGGCCATCCTGGGTTACCGGGTTAAGGATTTTTGATTAGGAAGGCTACGGGTTGTCAGTGGCCTCAGTGCTTTCGGGCTATGCCCTCGTTTATACTGACAACAAGGTGGTATTGGAGTGTTATAGTGTCACGGAGAAGACCTTTAATTATCAATTATAGGTTTTAAATTTACCCTGGCTTTTAAAGGAATAGGGTACATTGTTTTCTCTTTACTACTTCTATGTCTCTCTCTTTCTTTCTCTCTTTGACTCTGTCTCTCTCTTTCTCTCTGACTCCCTCTTTGTCTCTGTCTTCCTCTCTCTCTGCCACTCATTTTCTCTCTGTTTCTGTTTTTCCTCTCTTTCTCTCTGCTTCCTTTCTCTCTCTCTCTCTTTCCTCTCTGCTGGTCTTTCCCTGCCTCTGCCAGCTGCTTATGCTGCTGTTCTCCCCTCTCCTTCCCCTTTTACCCCAGAGACTAAGTTCCTCTGAGGAGGAGACAACATTAGACGGGGGGAAACAAACACAGGAGCGAGCAAACTCTGAATCGACTAAAAAGGTGATAAGCTCATGTTTAGGTCCCACCTCCAAATTTATCAAGGGCTCCTGGTGGGACTCAGGATAAAAGAGATAGAGCCCCTGACCCCCCATTCTTCCTTGAAAGTCATGAGTGGAAGGGCTTCTTTCTCCTTTCTTTGTTCAGGACATCCTCTCTTGAAGTGGCCTGTTCTTCCACGTCTATAGCACCTATCTTGTCCTTCCTCCCTCTTAGTTCTGGAATTCTTTAACCCTGCTCCCCCATACTCTTTAGGGGGCCTGGTAGACAAGGACCTTGGTTCTCCAGATGGAGGCTGGGATCCTTTTAGAGAAGGGTCTTTAGGTTGGTAGGGAACAGGTGGTGGGACAGTAATTCCTAAGAGTCAGGGTTATAACGAGGAGGGATAATGTGAGTAGAGGGGGAATTTGGAATGGGATCTGAGGCGGCAGTGGCTGTCTGAGGGGAAAGATTGGGGACACTGAGTGGGGGAAGATAGTCTAGGGGATCCCATGCACTGGAGTCTTTAGGCATGACAGCTGGCTCCTCTGACTTTTCATTTTGAGGTGCCAGATTGGGTTTTTCCCTATTTGTTTTTAAGGGAGAAAAGGAGAGCAGGTCCTTGCCTCCAACAAAGGGCATAGCCTAGTTCCTCTTGAGACACTGGACTTTTATCATTAACATATCGGATTAGAAGCTTACACATCACATACTCATTCGACCCAAACTTTGGCCAGAATATTGAGGGTTTGAGGATGGGTCTGAGTCCAAATAAAACAGTAATATTTTATCATTTGTTGCTTTTTCCTCTGTTTAGTCCTTTTATTATCCTTCCAGTGTTTTAGCATGAGACTAGGGGGCTACCTGGGGGGATATCTTTGTTACCATCTTTATCCCCCTTGCTCCCTGTCTTGCTTGGGGTATTTCCCATCTTGATGGTTTGGGATAAGGTTCAAGGTTCAATTTCCCTTACTGGAAATTTCTCACCTTTTGGGGTGAGGCTCAATTTCCCCGCTGGAAATTTCTTGCCTTTTTGAGGTGAGGCTCAATTTCCCCACTGGAAATTTCTTGCCTTTTCTACTACTGGAGGTTCATGTGAGGTTGAAACCCCCCCAGTGGAGACGTCTCGCCGCTTTTTAACCTCTAAGCCACCCCAACCAAGGAGTACTTCACCACCACACCCCCCTCCGAGGGGGTCCTGACCACCAGGGAAATACTGTACCGGCTCCCGTGGCTTCTCCTTCCTTGGTCTGTGCGCAGAGTCATCGCAGCAGTATCAGGATCCTTTAAGCTAGGTTGCTGGCCAATCTTTTTTTCTTTTTTCTGCGTTGTTCAGTGCTCAGGTTATTCCTCGCACTGGGTGGGTTCTGATTTCTCACCCCTGAGGCTGCCACAAGGAGCGGGGTGTGTACTTCCTCATGAGAGAGAACCAGAGACCATCCCCAGAGGGAAATGTAATTGTGGGCGAGCCCCCAAATTGTTATATATAAAGTTTCGGTGCCACAAAATAAATAGCACTTGAATATAAATTTTTCTTTTTAATTCTCAGCAAGGCAAGGTACTTCTATAGAAGGGTGCACCCTTACAGATGGAGCAATGGTGAGCGCACACTTGGACAAGGGAGGGGAAGGGGTTCTTATCCCTGACATACGTGGCCCCTGCTGCTGTGTCATTCCCCTATTGGCTAGGGCTAGACTACACAGGCTAAACTAATTCTGATTGGTTAATTTAAAGAGAGTGACTCAGTGAGTGGTTTGGTGGGGAAAAATGGTTATGACAGAGCAGGGTAATCGGAATGAGTCAGGGAGGAGCAGGTGATTGAAATGAGTCAGGGTGGAGCAGGTAATCGAAAAAGGTTGCTTTATGAGGAAGTTAAGTTTAAAAGTAGAAGGTAAAGAATTGAACATACTAACATATCGATTATTTGAAAAGAAATTTAGAAGTCATAGCTAAAACTTTGTATGTAATGTGATCTTTTCCTATAGTTGCCTTTTAGATTTTTTGTTTAACATTGCCCTTCAGCACTCTGGTGACTATATGCCTTGGTGTAGTGTCCATTTTTTATATTATCCCAAGAATGTTCTCTGGATGTCTTGTATCTAAATGTCTACCTCTAGCAAAATTTTAAAAAATTGAATTATTACCTCAAATATATTTTCCAGTTTTGCTTTTTCTCCTTCTCTCTCAGGAATGCCAATAATTCACAAGTTTTGTCATCTTACATAATTCCATATTTCTTGAAGATGGTTCATTTTCTAAATTCTTTTTTCTTTATTTTTGTCTGACTAGGTAAGCATGAATGACTGGTCAAGTTCTGAAATTCTTTCTTCTGTTTGGTCCAATTAATTGATAAAGGTTTCAGTTATATTTTTAAATTCCTTAAGGGAAATTTTCAATTTAATATATTTATTTATTCATTCATTTCCTGTATTGTTTAGAAGGTTTTTTTTTCTTGTTGTTGATTTCCACCTTGTCTTGGATCTCATTGAGCTTCCTTGCAATCTATGATTTGAATTCTTTGTCTATCATTTCTCAGTTTCCATTTTGTTTAGGGACCATTTCTGTAGAGACAGTGTGATAGTTGGGTGGTGTTAGTGTGTTCAGATTTTTCATGTTTGTCAGAATTCTTATGCTGGTTCCTTCTCATCTGGAAATGCTAGCACTTCTAGTTTATAATTATTTTCATGCAAGTAGGATTTTAAATTTTCTTTCAATAATATTACTGATTTTTTTCTTTCCTTTCCCCCTTTCCTTAGGGTGTGTGACTTTAGAGAATATTGAGTAGGGTGTTTTGGCTTTGCTTCTACATCCCTACATGCTTCTTTTGACAGGTTTTATATTGAGTTGTGCAGTTTGACGTACAGCCAGTAGATGGCACTTATGGGTAAGAGCTGGCTGCAGTTAACATGGCTGGATATATACTTGATCCTTGCTGACCAAAAGAAGCTCTCTACATGGAGTGCACAGTGTTCTGAGCTCAATGCCAAGCCCTAGATGGGTGAGAGATGGATGAGGCTAGATTGGGAAGCACTGACCACCAGTCCCCTGATGGCAGGCATAAGCACCAGTGCTGAGGAAGAATCCAGTGGGTGACCAGCAAGTTCCCAGATGTGTGCCTAGGAATGGAGCTGGGAAACCTCCTTAAACCAAAGTTCTCTGAACAAGCTGGGGATAGGGGTGGCCTAAACTCCTAATCAAGGAGAGTGGATGCTACAGGTACTTGGAGATCTGCCTGGGCATGGAGTTGATAGAACCCTGCTGCACCACAGCCTCTGTACTGGAAGGGTGGGGCATCTCAAGCTGGTAATACGGATGAACTGGTGCTCCAGCTGCCTGGAGATCTGCCTGGGCTTGGGTTGGATAGGGCCCTGCTTCCTCACAGTCTCTGCAAGGAATGGTTTGGCAGCGTAGGCTGTTGATTCAGGTGAGCAGATGCTCTGAATGCCTGAAAATTTGACTGGGTGTGGAGTGGAAAGGGACCCTGCACAAGGATCTTTTTACAGGACAGGTGGTGTGACTTAGGCTGCTGAACAAGGCAAGTGGGAGCTCTGAATGACTGGAGTGCAACCTGGGTATGAAGCAGAGAGGCCTGCTGCTCTAGGATCTCTGCACAGGCAGGGTGAAGTGGCTCAGGCTACCAATCTGGGTGAGCAGGTGCTCCAAATGCCTGGAGATGTGCCTGGGTGTGGAGCGGACGGGGCATTGCTGCACCGTGATCTATGTTGAGGAAGGGTATGGTGGCTCAGGCTGCCTAACCAAGCAAGCAGTTACTCAAAATGCCTGGAGATGTGCCTGGATGTGGAGCAGAGAGTGTCCCATCCCCCACATACCACAATCTTTGCACAGGAAAGGCAGGGTGGGTCAGGTTGCTGGTCCAGGTGAGTAGGTGCTCTGAATGTCTAGAGATATGCCTGAGTGTGGAGAAGAGAGCATTGCATTGTACCATGGTTTATGCTCAGGAAAGGTGGCATAGCTCAGGCTGCTGAACCAGGCCAGTGGTTGCCCTGAATGCCTGAAGATCTGACTGGTTGTGAAGTGAAGAGGGCCCCCTTCACCAGGATCTCTGCACAGGAGGCGTGTGGTGCCTCAGATTACTAGTCCATGTGAGTGTATGATCCAAATTCTTGGAGATCTGCCTGGGCATGGAGCAAAGAAGACATCATTGCACCAGGATCTATGCCCAGGAAGAGTGGGGTGGCTCAGGCTAGTGGTCCAGATAAGCGTGTGTTCTGAATGGGTGAAATTCTACCTGGGGTTGAAGTGGAGAGAGCCCCACTGCACTGTGATCTCAGGGGAGCAAGCTGGGGCACCCAGCAATAACACACACAGACTGGTTCCAGATTGCCAAACTGGCCTTGGCTTCAATTCTGTTTCCCACTGTAGCTGTGGCAGCACTCCTCCCACCCTAAGCCTGTGATAGGGGAAAGCACAATTCTTATGCCTAATGTAGAGGTGCTTTTCACAATTCTGGCTGTGGGGGCCGCTACCACAATCCAGAGCAAGTGCCCCAATCTCTGGCCTGAGACAAAAACACCTGCATGACCACACTGCCTTTTTGCCAAAGAATGGTTGACTTTGTGTGCACCCAGATTAAAAATGACACCCTGCTCTTGGTCCAAGGTCTGGGAAAATATCTGTAGCTTTTCCCCATGTCTTTTCCTCTCAGTCCTCCAAGGCTCTCCCTATGTTAGCTCCAAGGCTTGGGAGAAACGAAGTGCTCTCTCTTGGCCTGGGTTTCTCCGATCCCCAGTGGAAAGGTAAGTCACGGAGGAAGGCTCTCTGCCTCCCTCCTGTACTGTACTCACTTTTATCAGCTGGATTCCATCACAGAGGCTGTTTGCCAATGTTTTCCTCCCCAGAATCTTGGTTGTCCTTCAAGATTCCAGTGGATTCCTGTTTTCCTTTTTGAATTAAAGCTCCCAGAGTTGATCTTTATGTACCGTTTTCCTGTTTTCAAGTGGCTGAGGCACACTAAAAACCTCTTATCTGCCATCTTGGAGAAAATTTTTAAAAACTTGCTTTATCAATTTTTATGCTAAAGTATAAGGTGAAGAAGCCAGTCCCTCACAAATTAATTTGTCTACTACCTTATTGACAGCATGGAGTTCCAGAACACTGCTGTTAGGCAGTGAAGTCTCAAAGCCTCTTTTTTCCCACCATAAGAGTCCGGAGGTAAAGGTTAGGGACAGATCTGTGTAACATTTTAGAACACAAAACTAATCTATTGTTACAGAAATAAGTATATAAAAATAAAATAAAAATAATATAAATAAATACAATTAAAGAAAAACCTAATTTATAGTTATGAAAATTTGATCTATAATTGCTTGGGAAGGTGAATAGGGAAGAAATGATTTGAAGTGGGAATGAGGACAGTCTGAGTGACAGAAATAATTTTATGTCATGTGTTATAAAACCTCAAATTTTGCACTTAAAACTGGTTTATTTTATTGTATTTAAATTATGCTTCAATACAGTTGAAAAAATACTTAACAGAGTTAAAAGACAAATCACATTATAGAAAAGTATTTTCAATATGTGTGCAAGACCAAATGCTCAATTGTTTAAAATATGAAGAGGACTAATTAGAAAATTCAAAAAAATTTAATAACCCATAGAAAAGTAGGCAAAGAATAGACATAAAAAGACAACATGTGAAAAGATGTTCAATTTACTTGGAAAAATTTAAATTAAAATAATGAGGCATAATATATTTACCTAAATACTTAGTAGACATCAAAAATGTTTGACAAAAATTGTCAGTGAGGTTTCAGAACATGCCTTTTTATATATTTTTTGTTGAGGGACATTTTGATAAAATCTATGAAAAGAGCTATATCTTTCTTTTCATGTAGGACTGTTACTAATAAACTAACATATGTCTGAGTTGACTTATATACAAGAACATTTCTTGCAGTGTTGTTTATAATCACATAATTACAGAAATAACATAATGACTACAATATTTGGCAGGCTAAATAATTATGTTACATCCACAATAGGCATGGACTAATATAGAGCCCTTACAAAGAACAAAATAGATTTATGTGAACGAATTAGGGGTTCCCAGGCATCCAGATATAAATGGTTAAGGGACAAAAACAAGGTACAGGCCCTCTTCCCCCAAAGAACATGCAGACATGCATATATGTGTAAACAGCTGTACATGCAAGAGGGTGATTTTTTTTTAGATAGATAAACAAAATAGAGCTTTTTATTTTGACATGTTTTGTTCATGTCATGATGACAAAGTGACTTTTCCCAAGTGTTCTGAGATTGGAGGAAAATTCCATCTTTTAGAAGTATTTTTACTTGCAGTCTTAACTAATTTCTGAGTTCAATAATTGATCACATTCACCCATCAAATGTGCATGCATATCAGAACAATGAGATATATTGTTACAATATATACTGTAATTATATTGCATTATGTATATTAATAGACTATAATATATATTAATAAATAAATGTATTATTGGCCATCACACATAACCAGTTTCTCCAGATTTGGTGTGTTTTTTTTAATTTGTTTCGCGTACAGCCTTTGCTGTGTGAAATCCCTGCTATTATTTACAATGCATTTCAATTAATAAGGTCATTTTATGGCCTACTGGGGTTATACAATCAGCTGAT
The DNA here is from genome assembly GCF_000001405.40 of Homo sapiens. Taxonomy (NCBI): domain Eukaryota; kingdom Metazoa; phylum Chordata; class Mammalia; order Primates; family Hominidae; genus Homo; species Homo sapiens. Next base: position 89,619,474 of record NC_000007.14, on the reverse strand, counting down.
GTCTGTTGTGTGAACAAAATATTTACCTCTGAGAAGAGCTTTTGATAGTGCCAAGGGAGGAAATGCCTTGCTCCAGAATACTTTTCTAATTTTAGATGCTGGGTGTTCTTAATGATTTGCTGCTAATATAAATGTATAAAATGCTTGATTGACTTTTGATACATGCTGTTTGAAGTCATACGTTTGTACTAAGAACAATGGGAAGTATCATTAGTGGAAAAAGAAAAAAATGAATTTGACTGATTTAACACAACACCAGCTACACCTGTTTTTTGTACCTAATTTATTTCTGTGAGGCCAAAGATTAAATCAAAATTTTGTGAGTAAATTACATAGAAAGGGATTTAAAACTGACAAAGTTTCCAGGTCCTCATTCTTGCCATGAGGTTTAATTGTGCCAACATATATTTTGCTAAGTATAAATTAAAATAGAGAATTTTTTCCTATTTCTTGTCACTACATTTATAATGGTAGCTGAATAAAAGTCAAAGGTAAGTTAATTTAGTTAGAGATTTTTAAAAAACAGGTGATATTTTATTCATCTGAATTTTATAATAAAAATAAAGTCTTATTCTAAAAGCCCAATAAATATTAAATATTTTACTTGAGTTTCATAATATAGTTTCTTAAGAAGAAGTCTATAGACACAATAAGAAAGAAAAGGAAAGAAAATATAAATTTGGCATTCATGTGTGTGTGTGTATGGAGTGGGGGCAAACTCTATGAGACGGACTCAGACAAATTAAGAAGTCAGGGAACAAACTGTGGAAGCACACTCCAAGAATTGAAGAGAATGAATGAAAAGAGAGTGGATAAATGAAGGTTAGGGAGGCAGGGAGATAATTATTAGATAGAGACTTTAGAGGTTCCAAAGTGTTAGGTAAATTACTCTTGTCAACCATTTCCCTGAGGCTGCGACTTCAGGGTGTCATTACTTCCTACCTCTTATCACTACTCCGATTAAACACTGTGTAAACTTCATTTGCTCTTTATCTCAAATAGTTCCTGAGGTGAAATGTTTTTCTATCACCACTGGGGGTGTGACCACATCAATTTCAACATAATGATGCCTGGATCTGACCTCCAGACTAGAAACTTCTGTACCTACTCTTATTTTGCATGTTTCTTTTTCATTTGCTGAAATTTAGCTTTTTTCTTCTCTTTTGCATTATAAAAGGATTCACGTATAAAAGGAACAATATGGATTGTGAGAGAGAAACATTCAATGTTCTATTATCCAGTATGTTTCAAGTGTAATGAAAACATTTTATCTTTTATAGATTTGATTATATGTCTTATTTAAAACCACTTTTTTTTGGGAAATACATCTGAGTAAGAAAGTTATGCCTATGAAAAAGCAGGTATTATATTATGTTTTAAGCTTGTGAAATGCTCTCTACTCTTTCTTATGTAAATACTACGTATTAAGTTATAATTAGAAATAAGTGAATCAATTAATATTTAGAGGGACTGTAACATTTGTGGGCAAGTATGAAATGTTTATAGTTCGCATACGTACTGTCTGAATTTTTCTTAATTAAAAATTATATTTTTAGAAAATGCCTTGTTTGTATTTAATAGATTTCATAGTTTTATTGCGGTGTTGACTCTAGACCAGGCACTCTTCCAGGCTAATTTACTCCACCTGTCAACTGTTTTTTGAAAATCTTAAAGGTATTCTTTTCCTTTAAATATCCTTTCTGATATAAATATCCCTATGAAAACTAGATAAAACTAGTATTTTTAGGTAGTTTAAGTCCAATATGGCAACTATTTAGTATAATTTAAAGGTTTTTATTTAAAAGTATTTTCTGTTAAAAAATATTATATGTAATAATACGAATTTGCCATTTCTAAAGAACAGAAGGTTCAAAATTGGCAATTTAATACAGTTTGAATGTCTATAAAGTTGTATTTTAGGCTACATTCAGCTATTCTAGAAGAAAATATTTATTCCTAAATAAATACAACAAAAACAAATTACAACATATTTTTGCAGAACAATATTTGTATATTTGTTGTTTATTTTATATCCCATTTAACTAATGATATATTAACAACTACTGTACAGTTGAGAACTGATTGATTTTGGAACATTCTTAAAGGATAGCATTTAAAATTTGGAGAAAGGCAAATAAATTTTGTTTTGTATTTCAGAATAAGTATTTGATTCTTGATATTTTTCCTTCCCACTGTTCCTATTTATTTTTTCTTTTTTTTTTTATTTTTAAGATGTTGTGTCACTCAGTTGCCTAGGCTGGAGTGTAGTGGTGAAATCTAGGCTCACTGCAACCTCTGCCTCCAGGGTTCAAGTGATTCTCCTGCCTCCCAAGTAGCTGGGATTACAGGTGCCCGCTACCATGCCTGGCTAATTTTTTTTTTTTTTTTATTAGAGATGGGGTTTCACCATATTGGCCAGGCTGGTCTCGAACTCCCTACCTCAAATGATCCACCCGCCTCGGCCTCCCAAAGTTACGGGATTACAGGTGTGAGCCACCATGCCCGGCCCCTATTTCTTAACATAATTTTTGACACATTCAGCAATTTAAACACTTCAAGATCATATAATTAAAACTTGTGAAATGTATGTTCATTTCAGGTCTTTGTTATATACCTTCCCTTACATCATTAGTGCTTGTATAGGTAGGCAAACCTATCACATTTGCAAATATAAATCCAAATGAATTATTATTTTGTGAAAAACTTTTTATGATTTCTTAGAATCCTGCTAATACTCACCTGGGAAACATTAGGATTTCCTATGAAGTGATTAAAAGTAAACCAATCCAAAACAACTTGTTCATCAAACGTCTTTGTTAAAGTGCTTCTTATATGTTGTTTATAAATTTTGGGCAGATGATTCAAGTACTTAACAAGTTGTACCTAAAGACAGAAAATTGAACAATCATTACAGTCTCTAAAATGTTTTTGTAGCATTAAAAGTGCTAGAGTAGGAAGATGGAAAATTTAATCTCTCATAATTTTCTCTATTAAAAATAGCAGATTAAACCCACAGAAGACAATTACAAAATACAATTACAAAATGCAATTACAAAACTTTGATAATCTATCTGGATGGTCAACTTGAAATATCAGATTTTCTACATTCCCACATCCAGTGTATCTGGTGCTTGACTGTCATCTGTATGAAAGAGATGCATGACTCAAATGATTGATAGCCAACCATCAGGAGGACAGTAAGGTGTAGCTGAGCTTCAATAAGAGAAATTAAGAGAACAGATTATTCTCATCTGTTTCCATTAATTTTAGTCATGAACACTGTTTGCCCTTTCATTTGAAATGTTAACTGTGTATGAGTTGTTAGCAATTGCAACTTAAATAAAAACCATCCAATCTTTTTATTCTGTTTGTGCCCATTGTTCACCAACAGATTTCCATAATTAGAATAATAAAGATTGTTGATGATAAAAGCGAGATATATTACATTAAGATTAATTTACTTTTTGTCACATTCTAAATCTTCTATGCCAAATACAATCAAATCATGCCTAACTTAAAAAATGTATTCAATTCTCAGGCTATATTGTTGTGACCCAAAATAGCTATTCACACTATGCATCTGATGCTACATGATAGTAAGATATACATACTGTGAATGTGGTGGAATTGGTGCTATATGCTTGCAGTTTTTCTTTCTCATTCTACCAACAGCCACTCTTTCCAGAAATACTCTCACCATGACTTCAGTAAGATGAGAATAGTGAAGAGGGGCAAGTGTTTCTTTTTTTTAACATGGACAATGGATAGGATTCTATTCTTTATAACGTACTGTGGATGAGTGCATGGGTGTGTATTTACTATATTTTAAATTTTTTAAGCTAAATAATAGCATCGTATCTACAATACTATGACCCTGTTTTATTATTATAGTTTCTACCATGTTCTAGAACATCACAAGTAATCTTAGTGCCATCAAGTCCAGACAGCACAAGTAGGCTTTAATTTCTCTGCCAATTTTGATTAACTGATGGTGATTGTTTAGAAGGGTGTGTTAAGAAGGATCCTGAAAACAAGGCTGACTCTTCAGGATTCTGTGCCGCAGTTGCTTGGAAATGTTTTGTATAAGTGTGAGAGGGGTGGTACTCTTACTCTTATGTGATATTTCTGATCTAGTACAATTTCAATTTTACTTCTGGGGAACCAGGATGGGAAGGATAAATGGCATATATTGAGACTTTATTATATGCCAGGCCAAACACTCTGCTAAGCATGTTATAGCTATTATTTTATTTACTCCTGAGAGCATCCTCACGTGGCATCATATCAAACTTACAGATGAGGCAATTGATTCTTATAGAGGTTATGTGCCTAGGATACAAAAATGAAGATCAGTACTCAAATTCAGCAGGGATAACTCCAGATCTCACACTCTTAACTATTTTGCTGTGCTGTCATTAAATTCCCCAAGTCAAACAATAACAGAATTAGAACCCAATCTACTTGATTAGAATATATATATTTCTATTAATTAATTTTTAATTGATCATAAAAGGTATGTAGGTAAAATATAAAGGGCTACTTTTTTTCATTAGAAGTACAAGTCTGAAAAAATAGAGTCGTGGACTTTACCTATTGGAATGAAATTCAAATATTATCTAGCCCAACCGTCTCATGTTTGAGTCCTCCCTCTAATATCATTATTGAAAAGCTGTCTAGCCCATGGTTTAACAACTGTAGTAACTCAAAGCTAACTACTATTTAAAGTGATAATTAATATTTTATGCACCTACATATTATATTATTTTGAATTGAAGTCATTTGCTTCCTTCGTTTTCTAATTTTTAGGGATAATTCTAATTCCTAGAGATATATAAACATATGAATTTATGTCACAAGACATTCAGATATACTATTTAGTGGAAAAAGCTTTGCTCAAAGTATCAGCTAGGTAACTTCTAGTCCTGATTTTGTTAGCCATCATTTTGAATCTTGTAAATGGATTATAAACTTAGCCTAGGATTCTAATTTCAAAAGTTTGTTAATAACTACAATTCCTACTCCAGTCTGCTCAATTTAGCAAATATTATTAAGGCCTTTTGTATAACATGCACTGTAGAGATTTTTTTATACCAAGATGAATAAATTAGAATCCTTGCTAGTGTGGGAAAAAACATATGGATACAGATAACTATGAACAATATTGATAAAGTTTTATTATAATACAACATGGTAAGGATGTTTATATTGATAACTAATGGAACAAGGATAAGAAGAGACAAAAACCTTAATGTTTTTCTGAACCTCAAGTAAGAATGAATACTAATGTGCATTGAGAACAAAACTATAAAAAACAAGTCAAATGTTATGATTTTCTCTCTCTTGACATATATATATATGTTTTATCACTACTACTATTAAACACTGTGTAAGAGAAGCATATATATATGCTTCTCATATATATGTTTCTCATATATATATGTTTCTCATATATATGTTTCTCATATATATGTTTCTCATATATATATGTTTCTCATATATATGTTTCTCATATATATGTTTCTCATATATATATGTTTCTCATATGTTTCTCATATATATATCTCATATATATATTTCTCATATATATATTTCTCATATATATATATTTCTCATATATATATATTTCTCATATATATATATATATATATATGCTTCTTAGTCTCTTAGCCCCAGAAAACAACAGAAATTTAAGGAGTCTTGAAAACAAGAGATTAATCAATTATTTTAAGAACTTGGAGATGATCTTAGTACGAGTCACAATTAACATTATCACTGTCTAAAAACATTCTAAAATAATTAGTTGTGCCTGATAAAATTATGCTGTTTTTCCTGGTGATTGCAATAGACAGAGCCATTGTTCTCGAGACTATGGAATTCACAGCTTTCAGAAAGTTGAAACTTAACATGTTGATACGGTACTATATAGTTGTTTATAATAAGAAAGAAATAACACAATTGTGAATGAAGCAAAACAAATTGTGAATGAAGAAATTTGTACAAATTCTATTATCACTTGAAAACGCATTTAAGTGCAAAGTAGGAAACAACAATAACTAATTCTGAATCTGTGGGCATAAAACAACTTTTAAGATCAGAAACAATATTTACTGTTGAGACATGAGGGCAATCTAGTGTCAAATGTACTTCATTTTATTTTCTTGAACAAAGACTTTGATGTTTGTATGGAATGTGTACACACTAACCTAATCTACTCAGCTATAATTACTACTTAAATTGGTACCTGTATACCATAATATCTAGCAAGTATTATTGTAACCTGGGATTAAAATGGGCTGATTTATACACTTTTTTTTTTTTTACAAACAAATTGATAGATTTGTATTCATCAATTTGTCTACATATAGCTGATTCTCTTCATGTCAACAAAGTATGGCAAAGTATCCATCTCTGCTTGGGAAACTTTTGCTATTAAGTCATTTATATTTTCTTTCATGCATGTATCCTTCATCTAGTCAATAATTGAACAAATATTTTTGAGCCCTGACATTGTGTGCAAATTTTGCCATGTAGATAGTACAATAATGGGGAAGAAAACTGACATGTCTGTCTTCATTGAACTTCATTTCTGAGGGAGAGACCTAAATTTAACAACTAAACACGTGTGCTTATAATTACAAGTTGTTATACATAGGAAAAGAATATGAGCTGTGAGAGAGTGTAATAATAGCTATCTACTTTAGATTGGTTGGTCACAATAGGCCTTTAAGAAAATTGTAATTTAATGTGAGACTTATTGGATAGGAAGAAGCTATCAAAGCAAAGTGTGTGATGAGAAGTAGAAGTGGATTTAGTTGATGTGATTTGAATAATGAACAGAGGCATTTGCAGAATTCCTAAAACAACAAAAAAGAATTTTTATTTTGAGTAATTGAAAGATGGTTAGCAGAGCTGGGAAGCAAGGCAATTGAGTAGAGGAAAGGCAGAAGAAGTTGGAGACAGGTTACATAGAGCTCTGAGAGCCATGTCAGGGATCAGGTATTTTTGCCATGGAAAACCTGTCACAGAGCTATGAGAGTCATGTCAGGGGTCAGGTATTTTTGCCATAGAAAACCTGTTGGCATGCACACAAATTGAACTCATTAAAACCTATACTCTTGGATTTGTTCATTCATTCATTCATTCATTTTTTAAGTGCCAAAACTTAAGTATTAAGGATCAGGCAGTTAATAAGTTTGCTCTTTTCATTCTTTATAAAACCATAATCAAGCAGGGATAGGAAGATTTTTAAAAAGATAGATTATGTCATAATAGAAATTACACTACAACATTGATAGTGTAATAATATTTTATTCAGCAAAGTATTTAGGCTGTTAAGGAAGGGACGTGGAAAGTTAGGAAAGGCTGTTTACAAAGTTAATGCTTACTCTGGACTTCTGGAAGGAAGAGCAGACATTTGCCAGGTAAGTCATTCTAATCAGTGGCTCCAGCATTGGTATGTTTTTTCCAGGGATGCATCTGTCATGCAGGATGCTAGAGGAGGACATGGGGCTGAAGAAATAGGTTGGAAACAAATTATTAACATGTTTTGATATCAATGTTTTAAAGACTAATCTACTGGGCCAAAGACTTTTCAAGTAGTAACATGACCTAAAGAAGGGATGGATTCTAGAATGACTTAAAAAAAATTTTTTTTTTAGCTTTAAGTTCTAGGGCACATGTGCAGAACATGCAGGTTTGTTACATAGGTATACACATGCCATTGTGGTTTGCTGCACCCATCAACCCGTCATCTACATTAGGTATTTCTCCTAATGCTATCCCTCCCCCAGCCCCACCCCCAGTGAGAGGCCATGGTGTGTGATGTCCCCCACCACCATGTCCATGTGTTCTCATTGTTCCACTCCCACTTATGAGTGAGAACATGTGGTGTTTGGTTTTCTGTTCTTGTGTTAGCTTGCTGAGAATGATGGTTTCCAGCTTCATCCATGTGCCTGCAAAGGACATGAACTCATCCTTTTTATGGCTGCATAGTATTCCATGGTGTATATGTGCCACATTTTCTTAATCCAGTCTATCATTGATGGACATTTGGGTTGGTTCCAAGTCTTTGCTATTGTGAACAGTGATGCAATAAACATATGTATGCCTGTGTCTTTATAGTAGAATTATTTACAATCCTTTGGGTATATACCCAGCAATGGGATTGCTGGGCCAAATGGTATTTCTAGTTCTAGATCCTTGAGGAATTGCCACACTGTCTTCCACAGTGGTTGAACTAATCACTCCCACCAACTGTGTAAAAGCACTCCTATTTCTCCACATCCTCTCCAGCATCTGTTGCTTCTTGACTTTTTAATGATCACCATTCTAACTGGCACAAGATGGTATCTCATTGTGGTTTTGATTTGCATTTCTCTAATGGCCAGTGATGATGAGCTTTTTTTCAATTGTTTCTTGGCCACATAAATGTCTTCTTTTGAGAAGTATCTGTTCATATCATTTGCCCACTTTTTGATGGGGTTGTTTGTTTTTTCTTATAAATTAAAGTTCTTTGTAGATTCTGGATATTAGCCTTTGTCAGATGGATAGACTGCAAATATTTTCTCCCATTCTGTAGGTTGCCTCTTCAATCTGATGATAGTTTCGTTTGCTGTGCAGAAGATTCTTAGTTTAATTAGATCCCATTTATCAATTTTGGCTTTTGTTGCCATTGCTTTTGGTGTTTTAGTCATGAAGTCTTTGCCCATGCCTATGTCCTGAATGGTATTGCCTAGGTTTTCTTCTAGGGTTTTTATGGTTTTAGGTCTTACATTTAAGTCTTTAATTCATCTTGAGTTAATTTTGTATAAGGTGTAAGGAAGGGATACAATAGATGCAATAAAAATAATAAAGTGGATATCACCACCAATCCCACAGAAATATAAACTACCATCAGAGAATACTATAAAGACCTCTATGCAAACAAACTAGAAAATCTAGAAGAAATGGATAAATTCCTCGACACATACACCCTCCCAAGACTAAACCAGGCAGAAGTCTCATCCCGGAATAGACCAATAACAAGTTGTGAAATTGAGGCAGTAATTAATAGCCTACCAACCAAAAAAAGTCCAGGACCAGACGGGTTCACAGCTGAATCCTACCACAGGTACAAAGAGAAGCTGGTATCATTCCTTCTGAAACTATACCAAACAATAGAAAAAGAGGGAATCCTCCCTAACTCATTTTACGAGGCCAGCATCATCCTGATACCAAAACTTGGCAGAGACACAACAAAAAAAGAAAATTTCAGGCCAATATCCCTGATGAACATCAATGCGAAAATCCTCAATAATATACTGGCAAACCAAAATCCAGCAGCACATCAGAAAGCTTATTCACCATGATCAAGTCAGCTTCATCCCTGGGATACAAGCCTGGTTTAGCATACACAAATCAATAAACGTAATCCATCACATAAACAGAACCAATGACAAAATCCACATGATTATCTCAATAGATGTAGAAAAGGCCTTCAACAAAATTCGACAGCCCTTCATGCTAAAAACTCTTAATAAACTAGGCATTGGTGCAACGTATCTCAAAATAATAAGAGCTATTTATGATAAACCCACTGCCAATATCATACCGAATGGGCAAAAGCTGGAAGCATTCCCTTTGAAAACCGGTACAAGACAAGGATGCCCTCTCTCACCACTCCTATTCAACATAGTATTAGAAGTTCTGGCCATGGCAGTCAGGCAAGAGAAAGAAAACAGGTATACAATTAGGAAGACAGGAAGTCAAATTGTCTCAGTTTGCAGATGACATGATTGTATATTTAGAAAACCCCATCATCTCAGCCCAAAATCTCCTTAAGCTGATAAACAACTTCAGCAAAGTCTCAGGATACAAAATCAATGGGCAAAAATCACAAGCATTCCTATACACCAATAACAGACAAGCAGAGAGCCAAATCATGAGCGAACTCCCATTCACAATTGCTACAGAGAGAATAAAATACCTAGGAATCCAACTTACAAGGGATGTGAAGGACCTTTTCAAGAAGAACTGCAAACCACTGCTCAAGGAACTAGAAGAGGACAGAAACAAATGGAAAAACAACCCCATTCTCATGGATAGGAAGAATCAGTATCGTGAAAATGGCCACAGTGCCCAAAGTAATTTACAGATTCAATGTATCCCCATCAAGCTACCATTGGCTTTCTTCACAGAATTGGAAAAAACTACTTTAAATTTCATATGGAACTAAAAAAGAGTCCGTATAGCAAAGACAATCCTAAGCAAAAATAACAAAGCTGGAGGCATCACACTACCTGACTTCAAACTACACTACAAGGCTACAGTAACAAAAACAGCATAGTACTGGTACAAAAACAGATACATAGAACAATGGAACATAACAGAGGCCTCAGAAATAACACCACACATCTAAAACCATCTGATCTTCGACAAACCAGACAAAAACAAGCAATGGGGAAAGGATTCCCTGTTTAATAAATGGTGTTGGGAAAACTGGCTAGCCATATGCTGAAGACTTTTTAATTTTTAAGGATGACTGCTTTGGCCTCTATTCCAGGTATCCTTTCGCTCGTGGCAGTCAGAATGCTGTGGGACTTCTTGAGTCTTTGGAGATTTTAGAAGTACTTTGACTTTATCCTGAGTTTTACCATCATGAAATCCCTAAACAGTCACAAAACTAAATTCATCCTAGGAGCTCCGTATATGCTGATTAGTTCTTGTGTCAGTTTCCTATTGCTACTCTAACAAGTTACGAGAAACAGTAGCATTAAACAACAAAAATTATATTCCTTTAGTTCTGATGTTCAGAGGCTGATATCAGGGAGTTGGCAGGCCTGCATTTTCATCTGGAGGCTGCATGAAAGCTTTTATCAGCTTTGAGAGGCCACCTGCATATGTTTGCTTATAGCCTCTTCCTTCATCTTCAAAGTTCATCACTTCAACCTCTGGTTCTATAGTCACATCTTCTTTTTCTGATTTTGATCACTTTTGATTACTTTGGCCTACCTGGATAATACAGGATAATCTCCCCATCTCAAAGCCCATAATTTCATCAAGCCTGCAACAGCCTTTTTGTCATGCAAGGAAGCATATTAACAAATTCCAGGGATTAGGTTGCGGAGATCTTTGGGGGCATTGTTCACCCAGTTCTGCAGATATGTTTGTCTACTTGTGAATTCTGAACACTTTGGGCTCACAATATATGATTAAACAATTTTATTTTTTTTTCTCAAAAAGGCAGTATGACAGAACCCTTGAAGTGCTGAGTAGTAGACAAAAAGCAAATGATATTTCTGTGCTTTTCTACCTAGTCACATTTCACTAAACTGACATTGTCCCATTGAAGAGCATAAGAGGGACTTTGAAAGCTGGTGCCATGTGCAGCACCCTGTAGTGCTGAGATCCAAAACAGCTTTCACTCCTGTTTTCCTCAGAAGGGAGCCTGTCACTCTGCAGGAAGTCTCTCTGAAGCAGCTGCAGCTTTGGGGCTGCTGAGTGCAGGAACCTCTCAAAACCACACACACACACACACACACACACACCCCTCAAACAAAACACCCACTACTCTTTCCATTTCCTGTCAACAAGGAGTTCAAGTTCAAAAGAATATTCTGTTTCCTTGGTGTTTCAAACATCTATTAATAGGTCAGTGCCAAGGCTTTGACCAGGAGTTTATAGTAGATTCATGAGACTAATGAGAATGGAATTAGGTTACCAAATTTTCCATCTCATTTGTGCAATTTTGAAGTAACACAATGGAGGCATAATGACCCCATGCACTTTAGGAGGATCTTACTCTTGAAGACACCAGAAATCTTTTAAAATCATTAAGCCAGTAATCTTTATACTTTAATTGGCAAGAATGTGGGAAAACTATTATCTGATTTCAAAAAATGAAGTCAACAGCTGTACAAATGGCCAAATCAACCAGCCTGAAGATTTATTATTTTTTAATGTTCATATAAGTGATCATTTAGTATCATGTCTGTAAACATTTGCAGCCAAGGAGTCACTGAGCGGGTTTAAGCCTAATTGACATGTAATTGTGGCATGACTTATGGGCGCCATTTACCTATGCAAAGCAATCAATATATTGGAATAAATAGAGTTTGCCAAAATTGAGAGATGATGCTGAGTGTGGAAGGAAAGTTAAGGTCCAGAATACAAGTGTTTGAATAAGTAGCAAATATGTAGGAACTGTGAAGTGTCCTGGAACATAGACATTTGCCTCTTTTCAATTCCCTGTTTAATAAAGGTGGCTCTGGCCTTACTAGTTAATGATTGAGAAGAAGCTTTAATTATCTCTAGGGTTTATTGGGATGTTTGTAAATTGATTGATTTCCAAGTCTATAGTCATCTTGACTCATTGCCTTTTTCTAGTTAGTTTCATTTTATATTTTACTACCAGCTTGTAATAATTTGATTCATTGTCTCTACAAATGCAATTCAGTTTGCTATTACTATGACTTTAAAGACACATCTGTTGATTTAAACCTGGTACCTGCCAAAACCCATGTCTTCCAGATTAAGAATCCTAGAATTTCAGATTTTCAGTTCCTGTGGCAAACCAAATGTACCTCATTCTCAGAATTTAAGCACGTTCCTCTTCATGGAAATAAAAAAGTCTAATGCTTCATTAGAACAAATATTCTTTTTAGTTTTAGCTTTCTGCAATATGTTCGAAATTCAGAATACTTTTTCCCCCCAAGAACACAGTAAGTAGTGATGAAGTTGACTGATAAGCTTTTAAAACTCATAGTTTGGCTCAGCTGTAAGCCTTCTGAGTTCCTTTGAGGTTTTCGATGAATAAAGAAATGAGGTGTGAAGAGGTTCTGGTGGAAGCAAAAGTGGAGAGGGTTCTGGGGTGTGGAGTGTTTACAAGTCAAGAGGGACTTAGAAATCATTTTTCATCTAATACTACTTTTATTTCTCTAAGTAATAACCTCTAAGAGTCCAACATGTGCTGTAATATGGGTTTTCCTCACCTTTGGTAAATTTTTTGTAGGCTAGGGAAATGCTGTTGGGTAATCTTAGTGCATTTTTTTCTTTTCCTTTTTTTAAAAATATACCATGCTTATTATAATGTGATGGGAATTTGTCATTCCATACTTCACTACAAAAAGTATGTTTTATCACATCCTTTCTGGAGGGTATTTCTGCAAACTATATAAAAAGCCAAAAATGTACATAACTTTTGAAGCAGCATTTTCTCTTTTAGGTATTTTCTCTGAGGAAATAATCACAGACACATGGAAATATTCATGATCAGAGATGTTCTTTTTCGTATTCTTAATAGTGATGAAAGATTACAAACAACATATATATTTACAACATGAATTGATTAAATGCATTGAACCTTTGTAGATCCAATTAGGACATAAAAATTATACAGTAGGTTAAACAAGGGGAAAATCATACTGTAGGTTAAATGGGCAAATTTAATATAAAAATAATTAAAGTCTGATAAAAAGTAACTACATTATATAGATGGATACATGATTGATAGAAATAGAGATAGATAGATGACAGATGACAGATAGATAGATCGATTGATCAGAGGGAAAGTACTGAAAGAAAAACAAATTTTGAAGGATTTTCGACCTTCTTGAGTAACTTGTCATTTAGTATTAGGAAGGTGCAAAATAATTGTGGGTTTTTTTGCCATTGCTTTTAATGGCAAAAATGACAATTATTTTTGCACCAACCTAATAGTTCAGCTCATTGTATAGCAGAGAAGTTCATAGGTTTGGTTAGGCCGGAGCTGGTTTGGTTTGCTGCACTTGGCAAGCAGGAGGCAACTCTCCAGAATGCAGGCTGGGAGCAGGCAATCAGCAGTTAGGGGCAGAAGTGTCCAGAGAGGTGGGAACACTGGGTTGCAGGCAGCTGTACTGTGCTCAACAGAGGCTTAGTGAGAATTCCGTAGGCATAGGCAGGCTGCATAATGGACTGCAGTGAGAATAGCCACTCTGTGGGATCCCTCCAGGCTGCCGGCAGTCTGCCCAGAGACCTTCAGAGAGGATGGCAAAAGGGGAATGCTGATTTGGATGAAAGGCCTTCAGGGCAACAGTTTTCTTGGTCAAGAGAGTTATGGAAAGTTTATCTCCAGGCTAAGGTTGTAAAGTTGCTGAAGTTTCTTACATTCTGGGCCCCCAGCTAAATCAGAGCTCTACCAGATGTCCTCACACCCATGGTTGCTGACACCCCACTCTGTGCTGCAGCTGGAAAACCAAGGGGAGCTCCTTCCTCTGGGAACTTCCTGCCAGCCGAGCACTCTCAGCTGACACAGCTTAACATCGTACTCTCTTTAAAAGGGAAATACTCGAAGGAATTCCATCTATTATTACAGAACATATATTGAAAGGTAAATTTGGAGGTGAAAGGCAATACATTAATTACTAACACACACATGATGGTAGAATATAAGATGACATTATGTAAAATACATGTAAGGGCTAATGGGAACTTGCAAGAGGCATATTAATTGGAGAAAAGACATATAATTTTATTTAACTTGTGTATATGAAAGCCTTCAGAATGAAGATCCAACTTCCCAATGAAGGGCAGGAGCTTATATACCATCTTAAGATTACAGAAAAAGGGGAGGCTTGAATCCTGGCAAAACAGTTTGTAGGAAGGAGGGAGAAGAGGAATTCTGTCGAGGGACAAGAAATAATTACTAGGGAGAATTCAGTGGTCTTGAAGAACATATAATGGTCTAGGGCAAAGCCTCTTGGGCCCACAGAATGGAAAATGATTTGTGACAAAAGTTCTGTCCTGGTTTGTTGACAGATTTTAGTCTTCCTTCCTACAATATAGGTTCAGTTAAGAAAAACTCAGGGGAAGCACTGAAGGTAGTTTTCTTCTTTGGCAGGTCTGGACTTCAGGCAGACAAGGAACTTCAGAAAATCCTGGGGAGAGACAGCACAGGGTAAGAGGTAGGTCAGAGAAATCTGAGGCTCCTTTTTCAACTTAGCACGTACAAAGCACCATAGTTTAAGACATCTGTTTCTGAGCCCCAACACATACATCCTTAGAATATGTAGTGTGTATTTAGAGTATTTCTCTGGAGCAAAGAGGAGGTTTTCTTAAAGTCTAGTCTATAAGTTTTGACTTCCCTAAGCTCAGAATTTCTCTCCTGTAATATAAGTCACTTGTGTTCAGGTGTTTCCTGATCCTCTTTGACTCATTGTGTGGGAATTGGGGCTCCAGAAACTGACACAGACACTATTGCTGTGAATAATAATGTACACTGTCTTTGGCCCAGGAGTATCTCATCCCCTTAGAGCAATGAGAAAGATATGGCAGGCTCACCTGTTAAGTTTCAAGTAAGGTAAAATTTCAGACTCTTCCTCCTTTGTTCTGGACTCACATAAAAGAAGTGAGTAAATAAGTAAGGAAATAAACAAATATTTTCCTGAATTGAGAAGTGTTATGGAAAAGATAAAATGGAAAAATAGCACAATATGTCCAGAACTACTACTTTAGTGAGGTGGGTAAGGAAGACTGCTTTGCAGTGCCAACTTAAAGTTAAAATATGAATAATGAGAAGAAAAATGTCCTAGTAAAATTACAAAGAAAAGAATTATGTAACAGGAAGGAAAAATGCAAAGCCCCTGAGATGGCTTCAGGCTTGTGCTGTTTGAAAGACAGGCAGAGGCCACTGTGTTTTAGTAGGAGTGAGGGAGATACTGGAGAGAAACAGTAGGAATGAGGGAAATACAGGAGTGAAAAGTGTGAAGGAAGCAGCAGGGCCAAGTCCAGGGGAGCCAATGGAGGAGTTTAAGTAGAAGAGAGATGATCTGATTAATGTTTTGCGATGCTCATTTTGACCGTTCTAAGGAAGACAGAACAGATGTATTATTAGAGTAAGGCAGGGACACCAACTAGAAGAGGACCAACAAAAGCAGGCTTTGGGGACTGTGACTTGGATCAGCATTATCTCATAACTAGGAAAATAAACAAATAGCAGTAAAATCCAGAGGAAAAATTCATTAGCAACAAGAAAACAGAAAATGAATACTTTATGACATAAGCCCTGACAAGTAAAGGCCAAGGAGAGACAAAACATTTCATCGTGATTCTATGCAGCATTGGAAGGTGCTGAACTCCATGCTCAGAGCTCAGACGTGCTTCTGTGAAAGACAGTGATTCAGAACATCCAGTAAAGTCTTACTTTGTTGATCCAGCATGGAAAATAGATATAAAGTATATTTGAGAGCCTACCTATTCCTGAAGAATCTCACCTGGGCTTGCTATTTTTAGGGCCAGGCAATAAGTTGGGGAAACAATTTGACATTTATTGCTGACATTGCAGTTTTTATTTGAAGACCCATGGTCTGGTCTTCCTTCTTAAGTACCTCTGTGCCAGAATTATTTCCACTTAACTGGAAATCTAGCATATACCTAAGGGGAGAGGAGCAATCATAAGTGTCAAATTAATCCTTCAATAACATATCAAAATTTATTTATATCTTTCTCTGTGTATATAATTGTATAATGTATATATGTATATATTCTTGTTAAGAAATACTTAGTTTGTCAATTTTGAATGTACTTCTTCAGAGTTCATTTGACTTGAAATTCAAATAAAATTTAATAATTCCTCTGAAAATAATGTGTGAAATCCTTATCTCATTCTTAAAAACTTTATTTCTGCCTATCAACCTACATGTCCATTTCTATATGTATCTGTCTCTTGAGAAATATTTACAGTCATACTTATCTGGTGTTAATAGTGCTCAGTTGATTTTTCTTTTCCTTATAATTTTTCTATAACTTTAATTCTTATAATCACATACGTTTTTAATAAAACATTCATGACTCTCACAAACATTTTAGAAGATGACTTAGCAACATGAAAAAATATTTGTAAAATATTGAGTAAACCAACAAACAGACTATAAATTATTATATGAACCAGTGTTACAAAAGATTATATGGATACTCAAATACACATACATAGGAAAAAAAGGAAATTTGTATGTGAAATGCTAGCAGTAGATAATTCTGGATTTTATGAAAAAAGTGTTTTTGTTTCTTTGTGCTTTTTAACACTTTCTGAATGTTCAAGAACCAACAGGTATTACATAATAAGAAATAAATGTTAAAGTATGACCTTCTATAGTAATAGATGTGTGAATTTATAACAACCCTCTAACTAAGAAAACTGGCAAAAGTAGACAAAATCAGGTTGAAGGCATCGGAGATGTAATTATGAATTGAACAGCAGAACTATTCAATTTTAAAGTTCTAAAGAATGTCAGAAATATGGAAAGATTAGAAAAGTAGGTCTTCCATTTTCAGAGCTGCTTATGTTCTGAGGTCATGTGTTAAATTGGAAGAGATGGCTGAAAAGCCGATCAGTATTTTTTAGCACCTTAGGGCATGGTGGAAAGGTTATAGTCAGAGCCTGTTAAAGTGGTGCTATAAAACCACTGGCATTTTAAAATGGGAAAAAAAAGATTGAACAAATGAACTAGAAGTCTACCAGCTTTTATACAGCTTATAGCCCAGTTTAGAGTTATATTTGAAGTTCAGGAAAAAACTGTCTCAGAAATTGTATGAAGAGGGTCTTAGATAACTAGTGTCCCCAGGCATCTGGCAGAAACAAAAGAAAAATATTATCTGGAAGAATATAACAAAATTTCTGTCCCACAAGCAAAGATAGCTAGATGTTGCAGGAAGTCAGGGACCTTGAATGGAGGGATTGGCTGGAGCCACGGCAGAGGAACATAAATTGTGAAGATTTCATTTTAATATGGACATTTATCAGTTCCCAAAATTAATACTTTTATAATTTCTTATAAAAATCTTTAATCTCTTAATCCTGTTATCTTCATAAGCTGAGAATGTATGTCACCTCAGGACCACTATTGTGTTAACTGTACAAATTGATTGTAAAACATGTGTCTTTGAACAATATGAAATCAGTGCACCTTGAAAAAACAGAATAACAGCAATTTTCAGGGAACAAGGGAAGACAACCATAAGGTCTGACTGCCTGTGGGGTTGGGCAGAATACAGCCATATTTTTCTTCTTGCAGAGAGCCTATAAACAGACGTGCAAGTAGGGAAGATATCACTGAATTCTTTTCCTAGCAAGGAATATTAATAATTAAGACCCTGGGAAAGGAATGCATTCCTGGGGGGAGGTCTATAAACGGCCGCTCTGGGAGTGTCTGTCTTATGCAGTTGAGATAAGGACTGAAATACGCCCTGGTCTCCTGCAGTACGCTCAGGCTTATTAGGGTGGGGAAGAAACCCCAGTCTGGTAAATTTGAGGTCAGACCAGTTCTCTGCTCTTGAACCCTGTTTTCTGTTGTTTAAGATGTTTATCAAGACAATACATGCACAGCTGACCATAGACCCTTATCAGGAGTTTTTGATTTTGCCTTGTTATCTTTGCTTTGCCCTTTGCCTTGTGATCTTTACTGGCCTCAGAAGCATGTGATCTTTGTTCTCCTTTTTGCCTTTTGAAGCATGTGATCTTGTGACCTACTCCCTGTTCTTGCACCCCTCCCCTTTTAAAATCCTCAATAAAAACCTGCTGGTTTTGCAGCTCAGGTGGGCATCACAGTCCTACCGATTTGTGATGTCACCCCCAGAGGCCTAGCTGTAAAATTCCTCTCTTTGTACTCTTTCTCTTTATTTCTCAGCTGTCCGACACTTATGGAAAATAGAAAGAACCTACATTGAAATATTGGGGGCTGGTTCCCCTGATAGCTAGACACATGATGATACAAGGCAATCTGAAGGTAAACCAGCAGAAATACCATGTTAAATAGAAAAAATACCCACAAGATCTTCAGATATTGAAATTATTGGAAAACAAATGAAAATAAATATGCCTTGTATACTCAAGGATATTAAGATGAGATTAAAAAAGAGAACTAGCAACAATACAAATTTACAAGGCTGATTTATAAAAGAACCAAGTATAAATTTTAGTACTGAAAAACAACAATATCTAAGATTAATGTCTCAACTCAGTGGATGGGTTTAACACGAGATCAAAATATGTAAAGAGATATTTGACAAACTAGAAATAAATCAGAAAAAAAAAACAGAAGGAAACACATAGACATGAAATAATCCTGGAAGGGAAGATTAATGGATTAGAGATCTAGATGATACGGTAGAATGATCTAGAATGTATTTTTATCAGAGTCATGGAAGGACAAATGAAGGCAAATGGGTCACAATAAAAATTTATATACTAGCTGAAAACTTGCTACTATAAAATTACCCGCGACTGGGTAATTAATAACATAAATTGATTTCTCACTGTTCTGTGGGCTAGATTGGCAAAGATCAAGGCATTGGCATGTTTTATGTCTTATGAGGCCTGCTTTTGACCACTAAGATGGCACTTTGAAAGCTGTGTCCTCACATGGCAGGAGGATGGAAGGGGAAGAATGGGTGAATGCAATGTGAAACCTCTTTAATATCATTATTCCCATTCACCAGAGTGGAGCCCTTCTTACTTACCTCCTAAAAATCCTACCTGTTAATACTATAATATTGGTATATAAGTTTTAACATATGAATTTTGGAGAACATATTTAGACCATAATAAATATTAATAGTTTCACAGATGTAATAAATATCAAGCAATATAATTAAATAAATTTCTACCTCATAGTAAAACTACAGGAAATCAAATTGAGAGAGAATTTTAAGGTAAATACATATTAAAGATGGGTTACTTTCAAAAGATTAACAAACATCTGACTTCATATTAGACACAAAGGAATCTGGAAGATGGTGTAATAAATAAAATTAACTACTAACCTAGTATTCCAGCTACTTAAAGCTAGCTAAATACCTTTAAAAAATAACACATGAGAATTTTCAGAAGACAGACTAACAATATCTGTCAACAGAAGTGCTGCCCTAATGAAAATACTAGAGAATGTTCTTCATGTAGAAGGAAATGTTGCCAGATGAAAAATGGGAAGGCAGAAAAAAAAATGAAAATCAACATAAAGATTGCTATGTGGTAAATCTAAACAAATTCTGGTTATGAACATCTATGGTCTTGATTTCATAGTTCATCACGAAACAGTATATATAGAGAAATATAGCATATATATTTTGAGGGAAGTAAATGGAAATACAATTACTTAAAGCCCTTTGGTTATCCAGATAATGCAAAAGTTTCGGGTATAATTAGATTTTATTGAGAATCCTTGTTGTAATTTCCAACAAAAAAACCTACAAAGGAATATTAAGAGTGAATAACTTCCAAACTAACTAAAGGGAAAAAATGATAAAAATCTTTAAACAAATTATAAAACACTAATAAATAAAAAGCACATAGTAAAATAGAAGATTTAAACCCTTAATCATTAAGACTACATTAACTATAAATAAACGAAAGGCTCAAATTCAAAAGCAAAGTTGATTAACTCTGTGCCCCTCCACACTAATACGCAACTATTTATTCCAGGAAACAATTATAATTTCACGTTTAAAAATTAATTGATGTTAATCACTACAAAAATCAAGTAAATTTTAAAAATATGAATTAAATAAATTCAGAAAAAGCATTTGATAAAAATTTAACATGTATTCATAACAGAAGCTCTAAGCAAAAAGAAAAGAAACAGCAAAAAAGGAATAGAGGATAACTAAATGTGATAAAAGATGTATACATAAGCTCTACAGTAACTATCATACTTAATAATGAATTGTTGATACCTTTCTCTCTGAGATTTGGATCAAGACAAATACGTCTGTTCTCACCATTTCCATGCAAGAATCTATTAGAAGTTGTAACAACTACATGAAGAGAAAAAATATTATTTAAAAGATAACATAAACTTGCTTATATTTATTGTATATATAGAAAAATCAAGAATAATATAAGATAAATTGTTAAAATTAATGTAAAGTTATTATAATAGTTGTTTATAGGTCTAATATGCAAAACTCAATTATCTCTATACAATAAGCAAATAATTTAAAATAAAACAAAAATATAGCATTTTGATGGTTTTAAAACATCAAATACATAGGAATAATGCTAATAAAAATTTTAATTTCTACAATGTTATAAAACATTATTGCTAAAGTTATAGAAGACCTAAGTAAATAGAGAAATGTACCGAGTTCATGGATTGAAAGATTCAATACTTACATATGTCTCTGATTTTCAAACTGATCTATAGGTGCAATGAAAAAATTAAAATTCCAACAAACATTTTTGTGGAAATTGGCAGAATCAATCTAATATTGTATGCAAGTGTAAACTAATAAGAATAGGCAAAGCAATAATATAGAAGCATAAGATGAGAAGAGAAGTTACTATAGAAAATATGAAGATTTATTATAAATATTCAGCTTTTGGTGTATAATGGTATGACACAAAGATAGAGACAAACAGGCTACTGGAGCAAAGAAGAGAGTCCATAAATAGACTCTACACATCTACGAACACTTAATTCATGATAAAGATTGTTCAGCAGAGCAGGAAGGAAAAGATGGTCTTCCCAGTATATGATGATACGTCAATATAAGAAACAATAATAATTTAAAAAGCATGACTTCTACCTTTCACTCTTCAAAAGAACAACTGAAGGTAAGACCAAACAAAGCATAAATCTTTTGAAGATAATATGACCTCAGGGGTAGAAAAAATTTTTAACAATACAGAAAAAAGCACTAATCATAAAACAAAGATTGCCAAAATGGTCTGTATTAAAAACAAAAATTTTGTTCATCAGAATATATCATTAAGAGAGTGAAAAGGTAACATGCAGAACAGAGTAAGGGCTCATATGCTGAATTTATAAAGAGCTCCTAGAAGTCAAAAAGAAGAAGTCAGATGATTCAGGAGAATCATGGACAAAATACTCAAACTGGTATTTCCCCAAACAGGATATCCAAATGGCCAATAATCATTTGGAAAAGTGTTCACCCTCCTAATAAGGAAATTACAAATGAAAACCTCAACTGTCATCTACAAAAATAGCTATCATTAATCAATCAATCAATGAAACAAAAAACTCCATACAATGTAAAGAATTGGTGAGAACATAGAGCAAAAGGGGCTGCTGGTGGAAGTAAATATTTTTTTTCAAAATTATCACAAGATACTTTGTATAACTTTAGCAGTGTTTAATAAAGTAAACCTATGTATTCTACATGCCCCAGTGTTCTGTTTCTGGATATAGATATATAGGTGTACACAAGAACGTTCATGGCAGCATAATGCGTAAAAGCCAAACACTGGAGATAGCATGAATGCCCATCAACAATAAAATAGATAAGTAAATGAAATAAATATTATTCAACATTCAGGAATTGGAACACTCAGAAACAAAATAATGGCCTACTTTAACAGAATAACATGGATAACCTTACAATAGTTGACACTAAATAAAGAAAGTCTGATACAGATGAGTGAATACTGTACAATGGCATTTGTATCAAGCGAATAAAGAGATAAAACTACACACTAGTGTTTACAGTTGCACTCAGGTGATAAAAGTATAAATTAAAAAATAGCTATCAGTAAAGTTACACTTTGAGGATAGGAGATAATTGATATACAGGTTGTTTTTCAGCCTGGGTTTGATTACAATAGTGTTAGCTTTATAATAATTTGTTAAGTGTTTGTTTTATTTGCATTCCTGAATGTGTCATATTTCACAATAGAACTGTTTTAATAGTTATTGTAAAATGCAGCTTTTAGGTGAAAAAATAATTGTGAGGTTGATCTCTAAACCGTATGTATATGCTCTTTGTATTTGTCATCTCAATAAACATTTATTTTATACCTAGGTAACAACTAGAGTACTGTGCTAAATGATTTTGAGTCAGAGTCACATAAGACTTGGTTCCTTCCAGAACTTATAGTGGAGTAGGGGAAAATCAACATAGAAGAATGGTCATTGATTTAATATAGTTGTTAGCGATGAGAGAGAATTGTTGTAAAAATTTCTATTTCCACGTATTTAAAATCGAATTTTAAAAGTTGCTTTTCCAACATGGCTATTGGTCATGCATATTTATGAGTGAGAGGGAGAAGTGGTAAGGCTACTGGATTTTAAAAATCGATTTTCTTTTACAGTTTCTATCAGATATTAACTCATACATTTCTATATTTTATGCCAATTTTTGATTGATGTAATGAGTATAATAGATCCATTATAGCGATACCTATATGCAGTAGGTAATATATGCAGAAAAATGAACTGTGCATGACTATGATTATTTTTGAACTCAAAAGTGAAGATAAAATTACTGATATACATGTTACACTTTTCTTAAGCATATTGCATAGCAAATTATAGGTAACATAGGTTTATAACCACACTGTGGTCTGAGTATATTGTTATAACTTTAAACCTTCTTACTTGATATTGTTAAAGTGGCTATGTTTATTATTCTTAGTTCTGTTCTTGATCTTTTGTTCTGTTATTTGCCTGGTTTTGAGTTCATTTTAAGTTTCAGCATCCTTAAGAAGGGGGATTCCTATAGGTCTTATGAAAAATGCATTAACTGTGGAGTTAACTTTAACTTACTACTTTCTTACAATCTGCACTTTGGGCAGTTATTTAAAGTTCATTTTTAGGTATTGATTTTCTACTTAAAATCCGAATTAAACATTTCTTACAGTTCTTGAGATATTTGCTTTAATTCCTAATTGCAATTGCAGGAATGGACGCCAGATAGGAACTTTAGGGTGCATAAACTTTGGGGTAACTCCATTAAGAGGTACTTTGCTCTGTTCTCTGTAGCTCTAGCGAATATGCTGTTTAGGTCTCCAGATTTGTACAAAAAAAATGACTTTTCTACTGAAAGATTCGTTGCCATACTAAAAAACATTTTAATCTACAGCTGTTTTCTATTTTCTGTATCTCATTACACATTTTCACTGCAGCATTATAAACCTATGAAGAAGGTATGGTCAGATGAACTAAGACTGTCATTTAAAATTTTCATAGTCATGGTGTGTGGCATTGTCCATTTTTGAAAAAGAAAAGCAAAAGAATACGTTTTATATTTGTTAAAATAAGTGTTTGGATAAGAGGAGACAAAGTAAAATCTTATGTTTTACTAGGATTTTCTTATAACCATGATACTTCTAAAGTTAGTATATTATCCACAATTACATTTTATTTTTTATATGAATCTTCTCCATCCAAATATCTGGTATCCTTTAATTTATGTACTTCAAAGAAGATTATAAATAAGCAAAGGGTCAAATCACAAGAGCAGAAGAAGGAAGAACAGACTCAGAATACATTCATGAATACTAAAAAAAGTTTAAAAACAAGTTAGTAATTTACAGCTGCCCTGAGGCAGCAATAACTAATACACTGAAAATTTACCCATTTTATGCATCTATTTTGCTTGTTTTACTACTTTGCTTTTCATTAAAAAAACACATTTATTTCAGCAACTGTCACTCCTCTTGACATTTATGTGAACTCTGAGCTATGTGTGAAAATACACATATTTCTGCTTTACAATTTTTATTGAAAAATTATTTCTTTTACAAATTTATATCTTTTTTTGTTCCATGCTAGAGTTATTTTCATTGCTCTTTTTTTCTCTGTCACTTCAGAAAATAAGTCCTATAGTTTATTTAGTTTAACATTTGCTTTAAATCTTTTTTTAATTGCAGCTTGAATGACATTTTATCATTAACTATAAAGTAGAACAAGCGGAAATTTTCAGAACACAGGTCACACAAAAAATTATTGAATGAGAATAACACTGTAAATTACATTTAAATGACACTATGCTCATAAATACTTTATGCGATTCACAGCTGTAACCTAATGAGTTCTCATATTGTTCCTGAGAGTCAGTGGAGTGGTGTGAAAAACTGATTATTTTCAGATATATGGTAGTAGTATAAACTCGAGCAGAGTAAATAGAAGCAGGTGGCTTTTCAGTTCCTACTTCCCAAAAGAATGGGAATGAAGTATCTAAAGCTTGGATTTCACAATATTTTATTGAATAAAATTTGAAATAATAACACAAAGGAATGGTAGTGGGCATCTCCTCCTTTTGCCTGCTTAGCTTTAGTTCTGATATCTTCTGGTCAGAATACATGCATTTTTATTATTGTTTTGAATAATAAAAATTTCAGATGTGGGTATCTGAATCCCCAGTTTCAGAGATGGTACCTTGCTGTACTCCTGGACCTTCAGAACCTTACTTCCTGTTGGAAGCAGTTATTGATTCAACAATTTACAAGTAATCAATCTATTTACTTTTCTGTGTACTATATCCCTCTCAATCTTCTGTGGCATATTCCCCACTTAACATCCCTAAAAATTTCCAGTTGGAAGAGTAATCTAAAGTAATGTAGCTCTGAGGCAAGGGCGGGACTGTAACTACTCACCCCAGGTTACTCCACTTTACATTTTCCTAGAAGCCAAGACTGAGGATGTTAAGCTTATTTCTTGACTGGGGAGTTGGGTACAGTGGTGGATTGGCAAGATCACCAAAGCCTGTTGTTAACAAAAATAATCTTCAGACTGAGCTATAGAAATAAGAATTGAGTCAACAAGTCCCCTGGAGTGGACTAAATGTAAATTGCCTCAAAGCTACTAAACCTTGTATAAATTTTTAGTGACAGGAAAATAATACATAAAAAACCAACTGTGATTTTTTTATCTCTTATGGCAATCCCTGCAAAGCAATCTCCCTTCCTTAACCAATATCAAAGTCAAAAGATTCGTAAGCAATAGAGCTAGGATTTTACACTGGGTGATTTGTTTTCAGAGATTGTGTTTTTAACTACTCTGCATATTGTGCCATGCAATCCAGGTTGGAAAGCCCTTACTCATCTACAGGTTGCCCCATACAAAGACATGTGCTCCAAAATCCTGGGTTTGGAATTGAATACAATTGTGGGCATTATATTAGATTGTCTGGCTCTGAGGAGTAACATTTTTTGTTAAATGTGAACCATTGCACAGATTTGAGAAATATGTGCTCCTATGGCCCATAACTTTTAAAAAATGAACTTAATTTCTGAATAGTTTGGATTTATAATAAAAAAGAGAATAATGGAGTTCCATACTCAATTATCTCTATTATTAGTATCTGACGTCAGTATGGTATATTTGTCCCAATCGATATTTGTATATTATCGTAAACCAAAGTCCATACTTTATTCAGAGCTCCTTAGTCTTTACCTAACGTCCTTATTATGTTACCATATGATGTCATCCAGAAGATCACGTTACATTTAATTGTCATGTCTCCTAGGCTGTACTGGCTTCAGTTTATCAGAGCTTTTCTGTTTGGGTCACCTTAACAGTTTTGATGAGTACTGGTTAGGTATTTTCTAGACTCTCTCTCAATTGGGATTTGTCTAATGTTTTTCTCATGATTAGCCTTGGGTTATGGGTTTTAGGGAGGAAGATAATGGAGGTTAAGTCTCATTCCCATCATATCACATCAAAGATAGATATTATCACCGTGATTTATGACTGTTGACATTGACCTTTCTCATCAGGCTGAGGTAGTATTTGTCAGGTTTCTCCACTGTAAACTTACTCTTTTTCCCCTTTTTCTCTTTGGAAGGAATTCACTATGAGCAGCACAAACTTAAGGTCTGAAAAGCTATGCTCTACCTCCTTGAGAGTAGAATATCTACATAAATTGTGTAGGAATCTTCTGCAAGGGATATTTAACTATCTCCACTTATGAATTTATTCATTTTTTATATCAATATGGATTCATCAATGTATATTTCATACTTTGACTTATAATCCAATGTTGCTTTATTTGGGTTCTTGAATTGTTCCAGCTTTGGCAATTGGCTTTAAATTGGTTCCTGGGTATTTCTTATATACCTGCATTATTGTGGGAGTTTTTTGAAAGCACTTTTTAACTTTCTGATATTACAAAATGTTCCTCATTCAATTTATATGTTCCCTGCTGAAGCCTGAGAATCAGTCATCTCTCCGAGACCCAGTTCCTTTTGTTGGAGTATGGTATTAGGAAAAAAAAAATGTCTGAGTGATAGGTGAGTTTCTTGCTCTTGGGGTGCCATTGTTTCTATCCCCTCTCAACTGGTAGAGCAAAAAGGATATTTGTGTATACTAACCAATGCATATCCACATGTCTACACATAAGCATCTGTATCTGTATTAAGCTGAACATGATTCCGTACTGATGTCTCCTATTCTAATGCATCCCCACATGGATCATTCCAGCTTTCTCCTCTTGCTTTTCTGTAAACTTGAGCTTCAAACATGAGAAATCTGGCTCCCATTATGCATTGCCCATTTGTTTTATTGTTTAATCCCAGTACAAATATGTAGATGTTTCAGAATTGTTAACTCATACCTTCATGGGTAACAACTTTATCAACTAAAGTACTGTGTTTACGTACAGTGCTTTTTGCCTTTAGTCTTATAGAAGCCACTCATTTGCAAGGTTACTTAGATCAGCATCCCCCATTCAGTTGGATTGCTTTATATATTTTTACCATAGTTATATTATTTTGGGGTTACAGTCTGTATTTCATCCTGGGGTCCTCTGCTTCCTAAATGTTAAAACGTTTTCATATTTAATGTTCATTCTTTGTGCTGCGAAGTTTTAATAGTTTTGACAAATATATAGTGTGTCTGCCATTAAATTATCATATAAAATGGTTTAATTACCCTAAACAATTCCCTGTTTCACTAATTTAACTCCCCAGATCACCCGACTCCTGGACCTTTATCAACTACTTATCTGTTTACTGTCTTTATAATTTTGCTTTTCCAAAATACCATATAAATGAAATCATACTATGTAGATTAGTTAGATTTCCTTATTTCACTTTGCAATATGCAATTAAGATTTATCCATGTCTTTACATGGCTTGATAGCACATGTATTTTTATCACTGGATAGTATTCTATTGTATAAATATACTACATTTTATTTACTCATTTACCAGTTGAAGGTCATCTTGCTTGTTTCTTGATTTGGTGGTGATGAATAAGCTGCTGTAAACATTCATGTGCATGTTTTTGTGTGGATGTAAGTTTTCCAGTCATTTGTGAAATACCATGGAGTGTAATTGCTGGATCATATCGTAAGTAGGTTTAGTTTTCTAAGACATAGACAAATTGTCATCCAATGTGGCTGAAACATTTTGCATTTCTACCAGCAATGAATGAGAGTTGCTATTGCTCTGAATCCTCACCAGCAATTGTTACTGTTAGGTTTTTGGATTTTGGTCATTCTAATAGGTAAGAAATGCCATCTCATAGTATTTTTAATTAACATTCTTCTAATGACAAATAATGTTGAATACCTTTTCACATGCTTATTTCCCTTTTCTATGTCCTCTTTGGTCATCTGTCTTTTGCCTATCTTTTTTTTAATTGGAATGTTTTATTAATTTTGAGCTTTTTGTGTTTTTTTAAATATATATTTTGGATATAAATTCATTATTAACTACATATTTTGCAAATATTTTCTCCTAGCGTGAGGCTTGTCTCTTTTTTTGTTTGTTTGTTTGTTTGTTTTTTTGTTTCTTGAGATGCAATCTCACTCCATAATCCAGGCTGGAGTGCAGTGGCACGATCTCGGCTCACTGCAACCTCTGCCTCCCGGGTCCTGATTCAAGCAATTATCCTGCTTCACCCTCCCGAGTAGCTGGGATTACCGGCATCCACCACCATGCCCAGCTAATTTTTATATATATATATTTTTAGTAGAGACGGGGTTTCACCATATTGGCCAGGATTGACTTCAACTCCTGGCCTTGTGATCTGCCTGCCTCAGCCTCCAAAAGTGCTGGGATTACAGGCGTGAGCCACTGCGTCTGGCCCTGGCTTGTCCCTTATAAGTGATTTTTACAGACAGGATTTTTAACTTATACAAATTCAACTTACCAATGCTTTCTTTCACAGATCATGCTTTATGTAATTTTCTAAAAACTCTTCACCAAGGTCACATAGATTTTCTCCCAAAAGTTTGATAGTCTTGAATTTTATATCTATATTTGCATTTTATATTTATATACATATATGTAATATATTTTAATGTTCATTTTATATAAAGATATTGAAATTTTGATTTATTTTGAGTTAATTTTGTGTGATGTATAAGATCTATGTCTAAGTTCACATTTTGTATACAGGTGCTCAGTTTTTTGGATAGCCTGTCCTTTATTTAATTGCCTTTGCTCCTCCATCAAAATAAGTTGTCAATATTTGTGTTGGTCTGCTAGTGGTATCTCTATTCTGTTCCATTGGACTATATATGTTTTTCTTAAGTCAGTTCCACAGCAGTTTGATTCTTACAGCTTTTGCTGTTTTGTTTTTTATGTTTTAAGATTCAGGGGGTACATGCAGATAGATGTTTGTTACATGGGTATATTGCATAATGTTGGAGTTTGGGTTACTAGTGTACCCATCACCCAAATAATGAATGTTGTGATTACTACAGCTGTTAGAGTAAGTCTCCAAATATTGGATGGTGTAAGGCCTCTAAATTCAATCCTTCTTATGAGCTGTGTTTTCTATTCTAGGTCTTCTGTCTTCCCATACAAACTTTAGATTCAGTATGTTGATAGCTACAAAATAGCTTGCTAGAATTTTGACTGGGGTTGTACTGAAGAATCTACAGATCAAATAGAGAAGTACTAAAATTGTAACAATGTTGAATATTTCAATACATAAACATGGGGCATGTCATCATTTATTTAGATCTGTAATTTCTTTCCTCAGTGTTTTGTAATCTTCTGCAACAGATATTGGACATACTTTGTTAGATCCATGCTAAGTATTCTGTTCTATTGGTGCCATTATAGCATTGGTTTTTAAATGTGAAATTCCAGTTGTTCATTGCTTGTAGGTATGAAAACAATTGATTTTTGCATAGTAACCTTCTATCTTCCGTATCTTAAAAAGTCAGCTGAGGCTGGGTGTGGTGGCTCATGCCTGTAATCCCAGCACTTTGGGAGGCCGAGACAGGTGGATCACCTGAGGTCAGGAGTTCGAGACCAGCCTGACCAACATGGTGAAACCACGTCTCTACTAAAAATACAAAAATTAGCTGCGTGTGGTGGTAGGTGCCTGTAATCTTAGCTACTTGAGAGGCTGAGGCAGGAGAATTGCTTGAACCTGGGAGATGGAGGTTGCAGTAAGCTGAGATCACTCCATTGCACTCCAGCTTGGGGGACAGAGCAAGACTCCATCTCAAAAAAAAAAAAAAAAGTCAGCTGATTAGCAAAATTCTTTCTGCAATATTTATTTATGTATTTATTTTTAAATAACATTACATTAATAGGTTCTGAATGTGGACATCTTGGGAGGGGACATATTCTGTCTATCACAGTCCAAAATCTGGACCTCAGACTTACCTGAATACAACCTACAAAGTACAGTCACCATATTCAAACCACCCCCAAGTCTTAACCCACTGTAGCATCAACTAAAACCCAAAATCTCATCTAAATCTTAGAACCTCAAAAGTTTCGTGTATCGTCATCTAAGTAATACAAATTAGGCATGGGTGAGGCTCTGGTTATAATCAATCCTGAAGCACAATTTCTCTTCATCTGTAAAGTTTTTAAAGCACAAGAATTAAGTTATCTGATCAAAAATATAATGGTGAGACATATATATTTAGTAGCTACAGATATTTCCACTCCAAGAGTGAAACAATTAAAGGAAAACCAGAATCAACTGGTCCAAGCAATTTCAAAATCTAGATGGGAAAACTTGACTTGTCAGTGCCTGGGAATAATATTCTGAAGCACATGAATTGATCATTTGGGTTCATAGCTCAGTCCTATGGGCTTTTGACTCTAAGTCACTCATTCCTTTTCATAAAAAGTAGAATGTATTTGTAGTTGAGTAGTCTTACCAGCTTATATCTTGACTATGGAATGTTGCAGTTCAATAGCTTTCTTTTACTTGTGCTTTCTGTGCCTTCTGGACAAAACTGGCAGTGTTTCTACTCATATAACATTCTCACGTACCTTGTGGGTCTCTCCATAAATGGCATGGGAATTCACTCCACTAAACAGGAAATTTGTCAACAGATCTTTCTGAAATAATCTCTTTTACTTTTTGGTTCTGCTAATATGGCAAAAGCGGTCAATGCATGAGCCTTTAATTTACTTAAGAGTTTTTGTGTGACTGAACACTGTGCATTTCTGATCTAAGGTATTATCCAAAGGTTATAATGCCAGGCACTCATATTTTTCTCTAGAAAATACTTAATACAGTAAATGTCTTAATTTTAGTATCTTTTGTAAAGTTTGTAGGCCATTTTCTTTATGTTTATAAATATTTCTTTAATTTTCTTCTTGAATTTCACTAAAAGCAGCAAGAATAAACCAGTCTATAACTTCAACACTTTGCTTGGAAATCTGATCACCTAAATTTCTAAGTTCATTTCATTTCTAGAATCTTTGTTTTTTCTTTATGCTTTCTATTTTGTGCCTAGACTTTTTTTTTTGCTGAGACTTTTTATTTTACAATTCAAGCATGTTGAAGCATTTGTATTTGTATAACGGCTGCTTTAAAACCTTTGTCTGATAACTCTAACATCTCTGTAAACTTAGTACTGGAATCTGTTTTTTAATTTATCTATCCATCTAGCTATTTTTTATTGATTTTAAACAGATATGGTCTTGCTATGCTACTCAACCTTGTCTTGAACTCCTTGCTACAAGTGATCTGCGTGCCTTGGCCTCCCAAATTCCTGGGATTACAGACATGAACCACTGCACTCAGCCAGCATCTACTGATTATCTTTCTAAATTCTGTTTGATATTTTTCTTGTCCTTGAGATGATGATTGATTTTTCATTTAAATATGGACATTTTGGGGTACTTTCTTATGAGAATCTGGATCTTAGTCCTTCCATTTAGTTGGCTGTCTATGGCCACTGTCTCGGCTAGGGAAAAGGGTAGTTTTCTTATTACTCTTAGGTATATATAGAGTGTGTTTTCTCCACTTTACCTTTATTAAAGCTTAAGGGGGTTGTTCTCATTACTGCTTGGTGGAAATGAGAGTTTTGGCTCTCTTGAGTGGTACTCACTGATAACGCAGAGGCAGTAAGTCCTACCTAATCATTGGCTGGCAGAAATGAGAGTCATGTTTCCTTCCTTAGACCTGATAGAGCAAGGTATTATTTCTAGTGCACATTAACTGGAGATATAGAAAGTGGTATTCTGAAATTATGGAGGTTGCATGATAATTCTGATGACAAAGTCTAAATTTGCTCATGAGAGGACATGACTGAGTTGAGGTAAAATAACCCGTTGTAGAAAGTGAGGAGGTCAAGGAAATGAGAGGCAGAAATTCTGGATGAATGATATAGGTGGAGGTTGATATTTTCAAGAATTTTGGGTCCAATTGTGAAGAAGGCTAAAATCTTCAACAAATAAAGGCAAATGATAGCATAGTCTAAAAAAAGAATTTCAGCAAAATCATATTTTTTTAGGAAATGTGGAATAACTCAGTCTCTGAGTTCTGTCAAGAATGAGGAAGAATACCTTTGTTTGAGAGAATTTCAAGAGAAACATTGTTTCTGGGTTACAGCAAGAATTCAATCAGCACAAAATGTGCAAATGGAGCTTTATAGAAGAAGTGGGAGATAACTTGATTTTACTAATTTCAGATAATAAGTTACAAGAGGGATGAGTTATTGGGAAATCATGGCAGGTGAGAAATGGTGTTGATGAGTAGATGAACAGAAGGATGTTATGTTTTGCATCTTGGTGATGATGGTCCCTCTGGAAGGCTGTGTCTCAGGTAAATCCTGGTTAGGATTTACCAACAGCATGTAGAGTTCTAGGAATTTCATAAAAACTCCTCAAATAATTTCAAATCTCTTAATAGAAAATGTAGTTAATTTAGTTAAATGTAGTTAATGGTGTGGAAACTGTGATAATTGTTACACAAGTGAGTTACCAGGGACTCAATTGGAATAAAAGACAGACACATATTTAAGCTTCACAAAGAGATGACCATAGCTTGTGTTTTAAACTAGGCACAGTTGAATCTACACATTACATGCATTCAGCATGAGAGTCTACAAAATCTTATTAAGCATTGTGAATATAAGAAAATAAAAACTAAGAATGACTTTAAAAAAATATTTTGAGAACACTATAAGAGTGCAAGAGGAATAAATATTGTATCTTCTTTTTCTAGAAGAATATGTCAGTGAGATTACTTATGATGATTAGAAACGTTAACATTACCCAACTATCATGCACTATTTAATATTTGTTACTCTTGATTAAGCAATTCTGTCTCTACAATTCAACTGCCCCCAAAGGATTAAATGTATGATCATCACTAAAAATTCATGTAAATGTTTTGATTGAATGCTTTCCCTATTGCCAACTAAATTTATGTTAAAGATACAGGAAATTTAGATATATCTAAGAAGAGGAAAGAGGAAAGAGTATGCCAATGTAGAAAACCACATTGGAGAAATGTTAGAAAACTGGAAGCTAACTAGAAACACTGAAATCAAAGAAGAATAAATAGATCCTTCAAAATGTTGTGTATGTCTAATTTTCCTATTCCTTTATTCTACCAGTAGTGACTTTTAGCTCCCTCTATCAAACTGTCCTAGGCTGTAAATGAACCACAGATTATAAGTCAACTTACGCTGTCAAGCTCTGATCCAAAGTAAAGCAACTTAGCTAATATTTTAATTCTTGCAACAACTGTTGAGTTTCATGGCTGATGTAGTATTCTTACGTTTTGTTTTATTTTACTGTTTGCATAATTCTTACTTGCTCTATTTTACAATTTTATCTCTCTCATTTATACATAGTTGAGAGAAATATTTCCAAAGGAAAGGGCTCTTTGGTATTTTTCCTGAAAATCCCTTTCTTGATTATTTAGGTTTCCTAGAAGGAAAGACATGTAAGACATGTTTCCTGAGGTAAGACATAGGTGCTAATTTTATTAAATATGTATGTGAGTGGGTGAGTGCAATCTTATGGAAACAAAAGTGAGGATAAAAGGAGAGCAAGGCAGAGAAGCAAAGTGCTGCATTGTGGAGCTGCCACAGCTTTGCAAGAAATCACAGCTGGTTACAATGAAAATATTGTAACTTCTGGGGGAGAAGAAGAGAAAATAATTTGTTCTGGCTTCTTCCCGTCTCCCATCTATTATTGGTTACAGTTACCTCCAAAAGGCATTAACATTTTCTTGTGATGTTATCTGGCTCCTCTAAACTGCGATTTTGTTATAGACTCTAGGGCAACCAGACCCATAACATTATAGCACCCACAGCCAGCTAGCAAGCAAATATTAGCTAGCAGCTTTCTGTCTGCCTGTAGGCTGGGTGTCAAAGGAGTCCTATAGGTTTCATTCATCAGAGGCCACAGCAAAGCTCCAGTGTGGGAAGTGAGCAGTGTACCTTGTAAGCAGTGAGGCAAAGCATTCT
Organism: Homo sapiens; assembly: GCF_000001405.40. Taxonomy (NCBI): domain Eukaryota; kingdom Metazoa; phylum Chordata; class Mammalia; order Primates; family Hominidae; genus Homo; species Homo sapiens. The sequence goes on along the minus strand of NC_000007.14, from coordinate 89,585,103 downwards.
CATCTTATGATCTGAGAGGCATTGGGGCGCAGGGAGAAGTAGGCTGCATTGGCAGAATGGTCTTACATCATCACTTGTGAAGGCTGAGTCAGAGTTCTATGAGCTTTCTCCAATGAATAATAAACCAAATTTCTTCTATGTAAGGTCCAAGATTGTCTTCTGTTTTCATGATGATTTAATCTACTTGAAATACTTTTCTATGGGTTAATTTTATGTTTTGTATCTTGGAGTAGCTCAAAGCATTGCATTATGATGGCACTTTTCATCTCTTTCTAGAGGTACCTTGTTGCAGGAAGTCAGGGACCCCAAACGGAGGGACCGGCTGAAGCCATGGCAGAAACACATAAATTGTGAAGTTTTCATGGACATTTATCAGTTCCCAAAATTAATACTTTTATAATTTCTTATGTCTGTCTGTACTGCAATCTCTGAACATAAATTGTGAAGATTTCATGGACATTTATCAATTCCCCAATCAACACTCTTATAATTTCCTATGCCTGTCTTTACTTTAATCTCTTAATCCTGTCATTTTTGTAAGCTGAGGATGTATGTCACCTCAGGACTCTGTGATGATTGCATTAACCCTAAGAATTGTTTGTAAAACGTGTGTTTGAACAATATTAAATCAGGGCACCCTGAAAAAGAACAGAACAACAGCGATCTTCAGGGAACAAGGGAAGATAAACTTAAGGTCTGACTGCCCACGGGGTTGGGCAGAATAGAGTCACATTTTTCTTCTGGCAGAAAGCAAACAGGAGAAATATCACTGAATTCTTTTCCTAGCAAGGAATAACCCTGGGGAAGGAATGCATTCCCAGGGGTAGGCCTATCGATGACTGCTCTGGGAGTGTCTGTCTTATGTGGTTGAAGATAAGGGATGAAATACAACCTGGTCTCCTGCAGTGCCCTCAGGCTTACCAGGATTGGGAAATTCCAGCCTGGTGAATTCGAGTCAGACCGGTTGTCTGCTCTTGAACCCTGTTTCCTTTTAAGATGTTTATCAAGACAATGCGTGCCCAGCAGGACATGGAACCTCATCAGTAATTCTAATTTCGCCCTCTGCCTTGTGATCTTTTATTGCCCTCTGAAGCATGTGATCCCTGTGACCTATTCCCTATTCATACACCCCTCCCCTTTTGAAATCCCTAATAAAAACTTGCTGGTTTTGCAGCTTAGATGGGCATCATGGAACCTGCCAATATGTGATGTGACCCCCGCAGGCCCAGCTGTAAAATTTCTCTCTTTGTACTCTTTCTCTTTATTTCTCAGACCAGCCAACACTTAGGGAAAATAGAACCTACGTTGAAATACTGGGGGCTGGTTCCCCTGATAGTACCTCACATTCAGATTGTCCTGTCTAATCATTCTATTTGTCTAAATTCTTCAACATACTTTTCTCCTGTCATGAATTAACAACTATCCCTTCACATTGTAGAATCTAAGCAAGTAGTTCCTAAAGTGTCAAATTGATACATGGAAGCATTATCAGTTTGAGCTAATTGATCTTTTTCTTGTAGTTACCACATCTGAAAGTGCACAAATTTGAAACAGTACTTTAGCCAGAGTAGCTACCAAATATAGAAAAGGCTTCTTATGATTTGAATGTCTGATTAGAGTTAAAATGCATATTTCTTATTAAAACACTTTTGCTGTATTCAAGGGCTAAATAGAATACATTTTTATTATAGAAAACTTAAATAATAGAGGCGAATATTTCCCTATCCTTTAGATGAAAGCACTTTGCTACTGGAGTAGTACTTTGCTACTCAGAAATTTTAAACAAGGCCCAAACCTTGTTTCAGGGTGAAAGCAAGTTTATATCTAGTTTTACATATAGCAGACTAAGAAATATACTTAATATTGTAAGCACTGGTTGTCTTGGACTTTCAGACCACAAAATGTGCAAATCAAATGATGTTATCATTTTAAGATACTTCTTCCAGGCCATTAGGTTAGCTTGTTCTTTAACTTACTTTTGCTTGTCACATGCACATGTTCTTCTTTGGCATGTTCTGATGTTAGGAGTAGAGCCAATATGAGCAAGAATCACAGAGGCACTCAATGTGCCCCTTTCTGAAAATGCTGCTAGACCTTTTCCTCTTACTGAACAAGTCCTTATGTCTTTGAAGAAAGAAGACGGTTCTCTCTGCCTGTTAAGCAAGTTCAATTTAAAATCTTGTGGTGAGAATTTCACAGCATGTAAGCAGAAACTATTTTACGCCTCTATTTTCAGTCTTTTTTTGAATTACAATAATATACCCAAGAAGCATATAGAAAACAATAATTTTTGTGGGCTGAAACAGAGCTTTTACCCTTTAAGCCCAAAATATAAGTAAAATAATCACTTTGTTCTTAAGAGCTTATTTTCAAATTCTAAATGCCATATACTTCAGGAAATGTTACATTATTCTAGAAGCAGAGAAATAAATGCTTATATAAAATAACAATTTTCTATAAATATTAGACTCATCCATATTGAAAATCCTCTCATCATTTACCACTTGTTAAACATACAATGAATTTTCATTTCCCAAAAACACGTTTATATGATATTGGGGGAAATTGTTGCTTTTATATGTATTAACATTTCTTTAATTTCAAATGCATTGTATGAGTCATTTTTATTGATTATCATGCATACAATAAACAACTGAACAAGAAAATCTTTATTTAGTTTCCATGTTTATATTCCCTATAAAGTTTTCACTCACATTCATGAAGGAAATCAGAACATTTAGATATTGATCAACAAAAATGGGGATTACTATATCCAAGTGAGGAATTTGTTTAACATATTGTTTTACAAAGCATACCTTTGCAAATGAAAATGATACATGTTTCTTAGTGTAAAACTAAAACTTGTTGCTTCAAATATTTATAAAAGGAGGGCTGGAAATTAAAATTTTCTAAATCTGTGTAAAGGTAAAAATTTCTTAGAGAAAACTCACAGTAAGATAGATAACTACTTTTGGATATTTGGAAGTTGATATGTTGTTGAATAAATCAACTTATTTTATACATAATCTATTCCCTGAGTTAAGTTACCTGAAGATTCCAAAGTATGTTCGTATATACACATTTAATGATGAATTTAGGCAGGGGAGAATCAAGTACTAACATACCTGGCTATGAGAGAAATGGCTAAGTAAATATTCACTCCTTTTGTTACTACAGTCAATAGAACTTTGCTTGTGTTGCAAGGATCTGTGAGATGAGAATGAAAGTCCCCATCTCGAGCCTCAGTCAATGCTTTGCTGTCCTATTACTAAGACTTCACTGTTTTACTTTTAAATATTTCTCTTCATAGGTGGGATAGGTAAAACATAATTATTTTCTGTGTAAGTACTTGCCTTGCTATTTGGAATAATAAGAATAGTCGTATTATAAACACAAAAAGCAAAATCATTCAAAGTCTTAGCAAGACCTTGAAAGAAAATAACATTTGTTGCTTTTTGTAGAAAAAAACAAATATAATTACAATTCATTTTATCAGACAGTATGAAAATATTTTTTAAATGCATTAATTTTTTTAGCAGTTACCCAGAGTTGAGTCAGTAACAATTTCAAATCCCTAGGAAACAGCTTTAGGCTCTGAAATGAGATGAGAAAATATTCTCTAGTGGTTAAAATACCCATTACAATCCTTGTCTGATAAAACCAGCATGAAATAAGTGACACAAGCCCATGAACAAAAGGCCAAAAATTTTATTAGAAAGGAGGAGGCCTAATAACTCAGAGCCCACATATCCACTCACAGATATATGTATTTAGAGTAACAAGATTGGTTACTTTGTTTCCCAGGTCTCTGGTAATTGGAAACCATAAGTAAGAGTGGGTTAACACCACCAGGAGCCAATGTAATGATACAAGGGGAGTGAGAAACTTGACCAAATGCTATCAGCAGAGGAGCTAAAAAATGTTTAAGATAACCTGAGAACATGTAGTATAAGGATAAATAATATAATAAGCCCTAAGTACCTTTAAGACCATCACTGAAATTGTGTGAATTTCTATCAAGAAAGATGCAAACACTATTTATTTAGAAAATTAACTTTTAAAATACATTACTCTGATAACACCTACAGATTTTTCTAGCACTAAATTCTGCCCTTTTAACTCTAATTCTGAGTTTGTGGCAATATAAATAGTTGATACATATTCTCTGAGAAGTGGCCTAATTTCACTATTGAGAAAGTTTACTTATGAGCCTGGGTGTGGTAGCACGTGCCTGAAGCCCCAGCTAATCAGGAGGCCGAGAATTTCTTGAGGCCATTCAAGACCCGCCTAGCCAACACGGTTGCATCTCAAAAAAATAAATAAAAATAAATAAATAAATAACTCAAAATTAAATCTGATTATTTTTTGTTTTTATACAAAAATATTTTAAATGAAATGAAATGTTTTAAATGTTTTTGTTTTAAAGGAAAATGTTTTGTTTCACTCAAACACTTTCAGTGTGAGACTGAAAATGTTTACATTAAAATGTTGGTTATTATTGTTTTTTTCTTTTTAAACTTTTAGGTTCAGAGGTACAAAGCAGGTTTGTTATATAGGTAACCTCATGTCACAGGGGTTTGTGGTACAGATTATTTCATGACCCAGGTACTAAGCCTAGTACTCAATAGTTATTTTTTTCTGCTCCTCTCTGTCCTCCCATCCTCCATTCTCAATTTTTAGGCCCAAAGTCTGTTGTACCCTTCTTCGTGTCCATGTGCTTTTATCATTTAGCTCCCACTTAGAAATGAGAACATGTGGTATTTGGTTTTATATTCCTGTGTTAGTTTGCTAAGAATAATGGTCTCTGACTTCATCCATGTTCCTGCAAAGGACATGACCTCATTCTTTTTTTATGACTACATAGTATTCCATCGTGTATATATGCCATATTTTCTTTATCTAATCTACCATTGATAGGTATTTAGGTCGATTCAATATCTTGCCTATTGTAAATAGTACTCATAAGGAGAAGTGTATGTGCATGCATCTTTATGATAGAAAGATTTATAGTCATTAGGCCAGGAGTCCCCAAACCCTAGGCCACGAACCAGTACCAGTCCATGGCCTGGTAGAAACCAAGCTGCACAGCAGGAGGTAAGTGGCAGAGAAGGAGCATTACTATCTGAGCCCTGCCTACTGTCAGATCAGCAGCAGCATTAGATTCTCATGACTGTGAACCCTATTGTGAGCATGCAAGGGATCTAGGTTGTGAGCTCCTCCTTATGAGAATCTAATGTCTGATGATTTGAGGTGGAAAAGTGTCATCCCAAAACCATCCACTCCTGCCACCCCCCGCCCTGCCTGTGGAGTAATTGTCTTCCATGAATCAGGTCCCTGGTGCCAAAAATTTTGGGGACTGCTGCCTTAGGGTATATACCCAGTAATGGAATTACTGGGTTGAATGGGAATTCTGTTTTCAGCTCTTTGAGAAATAGCCATACTGCTTTCCATGATGGTTGAGCCAATTTACACTCCCACCAACAGTGTATAAGTGTTTCCTTTTCCCCATAACCTCACCAGCATCTGATATTTTTTAACTTTTTAATAATACTATTCTGGCTGGTATGACATGGTATCTCATTTTGGTTTTGATTTGCATTTCCCTAATGATCAGTGATGTTGAGCTTTTTTATATGCCTGTTGGCCACATGTATGTCTTCTTTTGAAGAGTGTCTGTTCATCACTTTGCCCACTTTTTAATGGAGTTGTTTGTTTTTTTCTTGTAAATTTGTTTAAGTTCCTTATAGATGCTGGATATTTGACCTTTGTTAGATGCATAGTTTGCAGAAAGTTTTTCCCATTCTGTAAGTTTTCTGTTCAATCGTTGATAGTTTATTTTGCCATGCAGAAGATCTTCTTTTGTTTAATTTGATCCCATTTGTCAATTTTTGCATTTGTTGCAATTGCTTTTGGCATCTTCGTCATGAAATCTTTGCCCGTTCCTATGTCCTGAATGGTATTGCTTATATTTTCTTCCAGGGTTTTTATAGTTTTAGGTTTTACACTTAAGTCTTTAATCCATCTTGAGTTAATTTTTGTGTATGGTGTAATGAAGGGGTGCAGTTTCAATCTTCCACATAGGGCTAGTGTGTTATCCCAGCACCATTTATTGAATAGGGAGTCCTTTCCCTATTGCTTGTTTTTGTCAAGCTTGTCAAAGATCAGATAGTTGTAGATGTATGGCCTTATTTCTAGGCTCTGTATTCTGTTCCATTGGTCTATGTTTCTGTTTTTGTAACAGTACTACGCTGTTTTGGTAGCTGTTTTGGTAGTATAGTTTGAAGTTGGGTAGCATGATGCCTCCTGCTTTGTTCTTTTTACTTAGGATTGCCTGGAATATTCAGGTTCTTTTTTGGTTCTATATAAATTTGAAAGAACTTTTTCTGGTTCTGTGAAGAATGGTATTGGTAGTTTGATAGTAACAGCATTGAATCTGTAGATTACTTTGGTCAGCATGGCCATTTTTACAATTTCTATTTTTTGCTATTCATGAGCATGAAATGTTTTTCCATTTGTTTGTGTCATATCTGGTTTCTTGAGAAGTATTTTGTAATTCTTACTGTAGAGATCCTTTGCCTCCCTGGTTAGGTGTATGCCTAGGTATTTTATGCTTTTTGTGGCAATTGTGAATGGGACTGCATTCCTGATTTGGCTCTCAGTCTTCCTGTTGATTTTTGTACATTGGTGTTGTATCTTGAATCTTTGCTGAAGTTGTTTATAAGCAGAAGGAGCTTTTTAGCAGAGACTGTGAGATTTTCTAGAGACAGAATCATATCATCTGCAAACAGGGATAGTTTGATTTCCTCTTTTACTATTTGAATGTCCTTTATCTCTTTTCTTGCCTGATTTCTCTGGCCAGGGCTTCTAATACTCTGTCGAATAGGATTGGTGAGAGAGAGCATCCTTGTCTTGTGCCAGTTTTCAAAGGGAATGCTTCCAACTTTTGCCCATTCAGTATGATCTTGGCTGTAGGTTTGTCATAGATGGCTTTTATTATTTTGAAGTATGTTCCTTCAATACCTAGTTTGTTTAAATTTTTTAACATGAAGGGATATTTTATTTTATCAAAAGCCTTTTTTGCATCTATTAAGATAATCATGTGGGTTTTGTCTTTAGTTCTGTTTTTGTGATGAATCACATTTATTGATTTGTGTATGTTGAACCAAACTTGCATCCCAGGGATGAAGCCTATTTGATCATGGTGGATTAGCTCTTTGATATGCTCATGCATTCAGTTTGCTAGTATTCAGTTGAGGTTTTTTGCATAAATGTTCATCAAGGATATTGGCTTTATGTGTCCTTTTTTTGTTGTGTCTCTGCCAGGTTTGGCTATAAGGATAATGCTGGTCTCATGGAATGTGTTGGGAAAGAGTCCCTCCTCCTGAATTTTTGGGAATAGTTTCAGTAGGAATGGTAACAGCTCTTCTTCAAACATCTGGTAGAAATTTGCTGTGAATGCATCTTGTCCTGGGCTTTTATTGGCTGGCAAGCTATTTATTATTGATTCAATTTTGGAGCTCATTAATGATCTATTCAGGGATTCAATTTCTTCCTGGTTCAGTCTCGGGAGGGTGTATGCATCCAGGAACTTAACGTTTTTCTTCTAGGTTTTCTAGTTTGTGTGTATAGAGGTGTTCATAGTAGTCTGTGATGGTTGTTTGCATTTCTGTGGGGTCAGTGGTAATATGTTCTTTGTTGTTTCTAATTGTGTTTATTTGGATCTGCTCTCTTCCTCTTCTTTATTAAGACTAGCTAGCAGTCTCTGTTATTAATTTTTTCAACAACACAGCTCTTGGATTTAAGTCATGTTCAGGCCTCCCATTATTGTGTGGAAGTCTAAGTCTCTTTGAAGGTTTCTAAAAACGTGCTTTATTTATCTAGGTGCTCCTGTGTTGGGTGCATATATATTTAGGATAGTTAGTTCTTCTTGTTGAACTGAACCATTTATCATTATGTAATGCCCTTCTTTGTATATTTTGAACTTTGTTTAAAGTCTGTTTTGTCTGAAATTAGTTTTACAATTCCTGCTTTTTTTCTGTTTTTCATTTGCTTGGCAGATTTTCTCCATCGTTTATTTTGAACCTATCGTTGTCACTGCATGCGAGATGGGTCTCTTGAAAACAGCATACTATTGGATTTTTCTTCTTTATCCAGCCGGCCATTCTGTGCCTTTTATTTGGAGGCATTTAGCCCATTTACATTCAAGGTTGGTATTGATATGTGTGGATTTGATCCTGTCATCATGTTGTTAGTTGGTTATTTTGCAGGCTTGTTTGTGTGGTTGCTTTATAGTGTCACTGGTTTATGTACTTAAGAATGTTTTTGTAGTGTCTGGTAATGGTCTTTCCTCTCTATATTTAGTGTCTCTTTCAGGAGCTCTTGTAAGGCAGGTCTGGTGGTCATGAATTCCCTCTGGATTTTGGTAACTGAAAAGGATCTTATTTGTCCTTCTCTTATGAAGCTTAGTTCAGCTTGACATGAAATTCTTGGCTGGAATTTCATTTCTTTAAGAATGTTGAATATGGGCCCCCAATATCTTCTGGATTATAGAATTTCTGTTGAGAAATCTTCTGTTTGTCTGATGGGCTTCCCTTTGTAGTTGGGCTGTCCTTTCTCTGTGGCTGCCTTTAATATTTTTTCTTTCATTTCTACCTTGGAGAATCTGATGATTATGTCTCGTGGTTGATCTTCTTGTGAAGTGTTTTGCTGGGGTTCTCAGCATTTCCTGAATTTGACTGTTTTCCTCTCTAGCTAGGTTGGGGGAAGTCTCATGTATAATATCCTGAAATATGTTTTCCAAGTTGTTTACACTCTCCCCAACTCCTTTAGGGACAACAATGAGTTACGCATTTGGTCTCTTTACATAACCCCATATTTCACGAGGGTTTTGTTTCTTTCCTTTTCATTTTTTATTCTTTATTCTTTTTTTAAATTTTTTTAAATTATACTTTAAGTTTTAGGGTGCATGTGCACAATGTGCAGGTTTGTTACATGTGTATACATGTGCCATGTTGGTGTGCTGCACCCATTAACTCTTCATTTAACATTAGGTATATCTCCTAATGTTATCCCTCCCCCCTCCCCCCTACCTCATGACAGGCCCCAGTGTGTGATGTTCCCCTTCCTGTGTCCAAGTGTACTCATTGTTCAATTCCCACCTATGAGTAAGAACATGCGGTGTTTGGTTTTTTGTCTTTGCTATAGTTTGCTGAGAATGATGGTTTCCAGCTTCATCCATGTCCCTACAAAGGACATGAACTCATCATTTTTTATGGCTGCATAGTATTCCATGGTGTACATGTGCCACATTTTCTTAATCCTGTCTATCATTGTTGGACATTTGGATTGGTTCCAAGTCTTTGCTATTGTGAATAGTGCTGCAATAAACATAAGTGTGCATGTGTCTTTATAGCAGCATGATTTATAATCCTTTGGGTATATACCCAGTAATGGGATGGCTGGGTCAAATGGTATTTCTAGTTCTAGATCCCTGAGGAATTGCCACACTGACTTCCACAATGGCTGAACTAGTGTACAGTCCCACCAACAGTGTCTTATTTCAGAAAGCCAGCCTTCAAGCTCTGAGATTCTTTCTTCTGCTTGGTCTATTATGCAGTTAATGCTTGTGATTGCATTATGAAATTCTTATAGTGTGTTTTTCAACTCTTTCAGGTCAGTTACACTTTTTCTATACTGGCTATTTTGTCTTTCAACTGCTATATCTTTTTATTGTGATTCTTAGCTTCCTTAGATTTGGTTTCAATGTTCTCTTGGAAAACCATCCAAAGGACAACTTCAAAGACTGAAGAAACATCAGCCCAAAAAGATGAGAAAGAACCAGCACAAGAACTCTGACAACTCAAAAAAACAGAGTCTTCTTTTCTTCAAATGACCACTCTTCTCCAGCAAGGGTTGTTTACTGGCCTGAGATGGCTGAAATGACAGAAATAGAATTTGGAATATGGATATAAACAAAGATCAGTGCTGGAAAACAAACAAACAAAAAATTCTGAAATTTAAAGAAACAAACACATGAAATTAATTTAAAACAATATAGTAAAGCAATATACTCAGTTTGGGAGTGTTGCTAGACCATGGCTGAAAAATACAGCTAGATTTTCAAATTCAGTCTCATATTATTGTGTGACACGTACTTTGTATTATTAGTGACTTTTATAATAAATTATGTTTTTCATGGTATGTTAAAGATGTACTAGAAAAGAAATGTTACTGACCATAAATGTTTCCTTTATATAAAATATTTTAAGGTAAAAATTTGCAAATGTTATAATCAACATTGGAGCTATTTTGTCTGGAATTTTAAAAGAATTCTAGTGTAAGTTTTTAGTTATAGCTATATATCTGAAGTTTATTCCCTACATAATTCAGAGGAACATTTTTAAAACAAAAACAAAGTACACAAAATACTACATTAATATCATTAATTGTGATTAGTGTTATAGGAACAAGACCTTGAATATTAAAATACTTAAAATACTATGCAATGATATAGAGAATGCTCTGAAACTCTTGTTACCTTAAAGAGTTACCTGAATATCATAATGAAGAAACAAACAAACAAAACGGTAGAGTGAGAAATAAATTCAACAATTTCTTTTCACCAACACCTGGTGTTCTAAATGAATTGACATTCTCTGTGATGTGGCTGTCAGGAATACACTCACTAGTAGATAGTTATAGTTATAAATGCAAAGCAAACGTTCTTTTTCTTCAAAATGTAGCTTACTATTTTAAATAGAACTTTTGAGTAGCAAATACGTTTATGTGGCTCAAAATGCAAAAATCAAAACTATCATCTCATGAACAGTCTGCATTGTCTTCTTATCCTTCATTTAATCAATTCCCTGTGCACATACATTACTAGTCTTTTTAGTTTCTGATTTATTCTTACACACTTTTTTATGACTTTATAAGAGTATAAGAATGTGTATTTTTCTCCCCCCATCCTTTTATTTCACAAAATGAACCATATTATACATACTGCTCTTAATTTATTTCAAATGACATTAGACTTGTAGATCTTTATTAATATCCCAGTCTATCTTCATTCTTTTTCTTAAATAGCTTTTTGATACTGCTTTATACAGATTTAGCATAATTAATTAAAGTTGCCTATGGATGAACATTTATTTGTGGTAGGTAGACTTTGTTATGTTCACTATATTCATTTCCAATTCCTGAGCATCATTCTACTCTGTCCTTGTGAAAAAGACCTGGCCACATATCTAATTTTGACCAATGAACTATGAATGATAGTGCTAAAATTCACTTATGGTAGAAATTTTAAGAGAGTAAATGTTTTGCCATATTCTTCCTTACTTCTGTTCCCCTCCTCCTCTTTCATTTTTCTTATTTGTCCTCTCCTCCTCCTCCTTTTTTAATTCACCAGACAATAAAACTAGTACAATTCCAGATGTTTTATTCTTTTTGACCTGGAATCTATATAGAGCACAATATTTAAGACCCATGCTAGACATCTGGTGTGAATGAGAAATTAACTTTTATTACTAAAATCTACAAAGAGTTTGTTTTTGTTTGTTACTATAGCATTATCTAGGCAATCATGACTGATATAAAAAATGGTACCAGAATTTTTGTGCTACAAAAACATAGAACCTAACAATATGTTATTGGCATTTTGTTTGGGCAATGAGTGGCAAGAAAAGTGTTGTTAAATCTGTAAAGATGGGGGTTTATATTATGCTTTGAAGAACCAGTATTAAAACCATCACCTGCAACAACTTAGGAAGTCAATAATGTCCTTTTTGGTTGGTGAAAAGTGTGGTAAAAGAATACTAGTAGTATAGGTTGTTTACTGTTGACTGTGCTTGAAAATGAATTACAAAGAGCGATAAGCCCAGGGCAGAATTGCTGGTTTTATGGAGAGAAGGAAAAGAAGAAAAACAGTCATAAAAGTTAGGATATGAGGTTTGCAAGGGGAAATTGTCTTGATTTATGACAGTAAAAGGTAAAATTAAGAGAAAAATTGTTTGATGTCAGTGTTTGGCAAAGACCACATAAAACTTATGGCCCAAATAACAATTTCTATCACAACTGAACAGATTAAGTGGCAAGCAATACATTTGTTTAGTTGGAAAGAAGACTTAGTGAAAGAAAAGGCTAAGGATACGGCTTCCTTCAAAAATCTTGGCAGTTCAAGGTATCTGCAATTAAGAATATGCGGAGAAGCATGTCTGGAGAATAATTTGTAAGTGTGGTTATTTGTACATAATGCTGATTGAAATTAAATAGAAAAGAGTTCAATAAATTATTTGAGTTATACTACAAAGAGAAACACCTTCCTGAACTAAAAAGGACAGTCACTGTTTGATACTTAAAATCACTATTTTGCTTTAGTGCTCTGTGGGCAGCAAATGAGCTGAGAAAGCTTCTCATTGATTAAAAAGTCATATTGTCGGCTGGGTGCGGCGGCTCACGCCTGTAATCTCAGCAATCTGGGAGGCTGAGGCGGGTGGATCACGAGGTCAGGATATCGAGACCATCCTGGCTAACATGGTGAAACCCCGTCTCTACTAAAAATACAAAAAATTAGCGGGGCGTGGTGGCGGGCGCCTGTAGTCCCAGCTACTAGGGAGGCTGGGGCAGGAGAATGGTGTGAACCAGGGAGGCGGAGCTTGCAGTGAGCCGAGATAGCGCCACTGCACTCCAGCCTGGGTGACAGAGCAAGACTCCATCTCAAAAAAAAAAAAAAAAAAGTTATATTGTTACGTGACTTATTCAGTTGTAGCCTAGGAGAAAAATGAAAAAAGAATTACCACCCAGGGGTTGGACTCAAGGACTGGGGAGAATGATGGACTGGGAATTAGTCTTAGGAAGACAAATCAGAAGCCAATCAAGGAACATGCTCCACTCCCAGTATAGAAGCCCATTTCTGTATATGGCCAGTGTGAATCAGCATTGCTAAATACAAGTAATTGCTGTAAATTTGTCCATCTGAATGGAATGTTCATAGCAGGTGGGCTGTTCTACTTTATATTTGGTACATCTGGCAGATGGTGTTGGACTTGTTGAACTTCTGAAATGACTGAGACCTAGAACTTTGAGCTTAAAGCAGTAAATGGGTGAGATGTTTGGATATTTTCCCTTTGGAGGAAGTGAATGCGTATGTGAGAGAAGGATGGAAGCAAATATTTGGTTGTCTGAATGGAAGACTACAGTAGATCTCACAGTTTACCAATATTCAAATCTCTACCTTGAAAGAGAATTATGCCATAATTTGTACTCTCATTAGGGCCCAAATTAGCCATATATTTTACTTTGCTAAAGATGTGTAAATATAGTTGATGTAGTCATAATCTTTATTTAATCTTTATATAATGATTTTATGTTTTCTTTTCTCTTCTGTCACTGAAGCCTGCACTATTCCAGGCAGTTTCTTTTTGGTTCTAGTGGCTGTTTAGATTCTGTGAACACTACCCTTGTAAAGCCCATTGCTAAACATGCAGCATGAGTAATAAATAAAACTTTGCTGTTTTAAAGCACTAAGATTTTGGTGGTGTTTGTTACTTCACCATAACCTAGACTATCCTGACTGATACAAAGCTATCTCCAAAGTTTTGCTATAACAAATAAAGCTGCGATGACTTACACATGCCATTTGAAAATGTCTAAGTGAATTTAAGTTTAAATTCTCAGAGAAGTGGAATTTATGAGTCAAAGGATATAAACAAGGTAATTTTGATAGATATGGCTAAGCTTCCCTCCATAACATTGATATCAATATCAATTTTTATTTTTCACTAGAAGTTTATGAGATGCTTATTACCCACAGATTTCTCAAGTAGTATATTACCAACATTTTGGATGGTCAGTCTAGAAAATGAATATCTTGGAGTTAAAGCTAACAATTTGAAAATGAGCAAAAAATATACATGTTTGTAAGAGAAGCTCATCCTATGGAGAAAGCATTCTGAAAACATGTTTTTAAATGTTTTTATTTTTATGTGTTTTTGAAGCCAGTACAGCTATGGATCCTCAAAAACTTTCTTAGCTTGATAGAATTATACAATGTAGACATTTAGAAACACACTTTTTCTAATATAGTTTACAATTTTCCATGTAAAGCATTTCAATAGGTTTTGAATCAAATTTTTAAAAATAAAAGTGTAACATTTTAATTGTTTGGCAAAACTGCTAATTTATGTCAGGAAAGGTACTCATTTATTAATAAAATTAAAGTATAAAAGGCAAAACATTATGTAATCCTATTACTAGATACATAAATAGTATTTAATAAAGTTCAGCATTTACTGATGGAAAAAATCTTAATAAACTAGGAATATAAAGTAATTTGCTTAATTTAATAAATTACACACACACAGGCAATTTATAGACATGCTTAATGGTAAACTATTGACAACTTTCCAGTTGAGACTGTGAATAAGATGAAGACATCAGCTACTGATATTTGTCTTAAACACTGAGACCTTATTATTTACTATTTAATTTTTTAATTTATTTTTTCCACTTTCATTTATGTTTGGGGGTACATGTGCAAGTTTCTGACATGGGTAAATTGCATGTCACTGAGGCTTGGTGTGTGAATGATCCAATCACCAATGTAGTGAGCATAGTACCTGATAGGTAGCCTATCAGGTTACAGGGTGGGCCATGCCCACCCTACTCCGTCAAGCATTCCCCAGTGTCTGTTGTTCCCATCTTTGAGTCCATGTGTATTCAGTGTTTGGTTTCTACTTAAAAGTGAGAATGTATGGTGTCTGGTTTTCTGTTCCTGCCTTCATTTGCTTAGGATAATGGCAACCAGCTTCCTCCATGTTGCTATGATTTTGTTCTTTTTTATGTCTGTGTAGTATTCCACAGTGTATAAGAGCCACATTTTCTTTATTTAGTCCATTGTTGATGGGTATCATGGTTGATTGCATGTCTTTGTTATTGTGAATAGCTCTGTAATGGACATGCAAGTTCATCTGCCTTTTTGGTAACAATTTGTTTTCATTTGCGTATACCCAGTGGCAGGATTTCTGGGTTGAATGGTAGCTCTGTTTAAAGTTCTTCTAGAATCTCCAAACTGCTTTCCACAATTGCTGAACTAACTTAAATTTTCACCAACAGTGTATAAGCGTTCCCTTTTCTCCACAACCTGGGCAGCATCTCTTGTTTTTTGACTTTTTAATAACCATTGTTCTGATTGGTGTGAGGTGATATCTCATTGTGGTTTTCATTTGCATTTTTCTAATGATTAATGAGAATGAGCATTTTTCATATATTTGTTGGCCACATGTATGTGTTCTTTTGAGAGGTGTCTGTTTATGTCCTTTGCCCATTTAAAAAATTAGGGTTATTTGGATTTTGCTTGCTGATTTAAGTTCCTTATAGATTCTGGTTATTAGAGTTTTGTTGGATGCATAGTTTCTGAATATTTTCTTCCATTCTGTAGGTTGTCTGTTTACTCTGTTAGTTTCTTTTTCTGTGCAGAAGCTCTTGAGTTTAATTAGGTCTCACTTGTCAGTTTTTGCTTTTGTTGCCATTTCTTTTGGTGTCTTCATAATGAAATCCTTGCTTATGCCTGTGTCCTGAATGGTATTGCCTAAGTTATCTTCCAAGGTTTTTATAGTTTTGGGTTTTTCATTTAAGTCTTTAATTCACATTGAGTTACTTTTTGTATATGGTATAAGAAAGGGGTCCAGTTTCAGTCTTCTGCATATGGCTAGCCAATTATCCCAGCACTAAATATTGAATAGGAAATTATTTCCCCCATTGTGTGTTAATGTCAACTTTGTCAAACATCAGATGGCTGTAGGTGTGTGGCTTTATTTCTAGGTTCTGTATCCTGTTCCATTGATCTAAGTGTCTGTTTTTGTACCAGTACCATGCTGTTTTGGTTACTGTAGCCTTGTAGTATAGTTTGAAGTTGAGAAATGTGATACCCCAGCTTTGTCCTTTTTGCTTAAGTATTATTGCTTTTTGGTATTTGAATATTTTTTTGGATCTATATGAATTTCAGAATAGTTTTTTCTAATTCTGTGAAAAATGACTTTGCTAATTTGATACGAATAGCAACAAATCTTTAAATTGCTTTGGGAAGTATGGCCATTTCAACAATGTGGATTCTTCCTATTCATGAGCATGGAATGTTTTCTACTTGTTTGTGTTGTCTCTGATTTCTTTGAGCAGTATTTTAAAATTATCATTGTAGAGATCTTTCACTTCCTTGATAAGGTGTATTCTTAGGTATTTTATTATTTTGTGGCTATTGTAAATGGGATTATGTTTTTTACTTGGCTCTGAGCTTAGATGTTATTGGTGTAGATAAATAATGCTGATTTTTGAACAATGATTTTGTTTTCTGAAATTCGACTGAAGGTGTTTGTCAGTTCTAGAAGCCTTCTGGTGGAATCTATGGGTTTTTATGTATAGAATCATATTTTTCCAGGAAGAGAGACAGTTTGACTTCTTCTCTTCCTATTTTGATCACCTTTGTTTATTTCTCTTGCCTGATTGCTCTGGCTAGGACTTCCAATACTATGATGAATAGGAGTGGTAAGAGTGGGCATCCTTATCTTGCTTCAGTTCTCAAGGGGAATGTTTCCAGCTTTTGCCCCTTCATTAAGATGCTGGCTGTGGGTTTGTCATAGATGGCTCTTATTATTTTGAGTTATCTTCCTTCAATATGTCAATATATCAATGTGTAATTTGCTGAGGGTTTTTAATATGAAGGGATACTGAATTTTATCAAAGCCTTTTCTGTGTGTATTGAGATGATCATGTCGCTTTTGTTGTTAATTCTCTTTATGTGGTAAATTACATTTCTTGATTTGCATATGTTAAACCAACCTTGCATCCCAGGAATAAAGCCACAAAAGAATAAAATACCTAGGAATACAGCTTACCACAGAGGTGAAAGATCTCCACAATGAGAATTTAAAAATACTGTTGAAAGAAATTGGGTTTTCTGATCATGATGAATTAACTTTTTGATGTGCTGTGGGATTTCATTCGTATTTGGTTTGTATTCTTGTATTTTGTTGAGGATTTTTATGTCTGTGTTCATCAGAGATATTGGACTGAATTTTTCTTTTTTTGTTGTGTCTCCGCCAAGTTTTGGAATCAGAATGATGCTGGCTTTGTAGAACGAGTTAGGAGGGAATCCCTTGTCCTTGATATTTTTGAATAATTTCAGTAGGATTGGTATTAGCTCTTCATTTTACATCTGGTAGAATTTGGCTTTGAATCCATTTGGTCCACAGCTTTTTTTTTAGCTGATAGGTTTTTATTACTGATTCAGTTTAAGAACTCACTGTTAGTCTGCTCAAGATTTTAATTTCTTCCTGGTTCACTATTAGGAGGCTGTGTGTTTCCATGAATTTGTCCATTTCTTCTAGGTTGTCTAGTTTGTATGCAAAGAGGTGTTCATAATAGTTTCTCAGGAATTTCTGTTTTTCTGTGGGGTTGGTTGTAATGTCACCTTTGTTGTTTCTGATTATGTTTATTTGGATCTTCTCTTTTATCCTTTATTAATCTAGCTAGTGATCTATCAATCTTCTTTAATCTTTAGAATAACCAACTTTTTTTGATGTTTTGTATGGATTTTTGCATCTGAATTTTATTCCATTCAACTCTGATTTTGGTTATTTCTGTTCTTCTGCTAACTTTGGGTTGGTTTGCTTTTGTTTTTCTAGTTCCTCTAGGCATGCCATTAGATTGTTAATTTGAGATCTGTATACATTCTTGATGTAGGCATTTAGTACTCAAAACTTTTCTCTTTTTTTTTTTTTTTTTTTTTTTTTTGGAGATGGAGTCTTACTCTGTCACCCAGATTAGAGTGTAGTGGCACAGTCTCAGCTCACTGCAACCTCCACCTCTCTGGTTTAAGCACTTCTCCTGCCTCAGTCTCCTGAGTAGCTGGGACTACAGGCACATGCCACCAAACTCTGCTAATTTTTTGTATTTCAGTGGAGACGGGGTTTCACTGTGTTGCCCAGGCTGGTCTCAAACTCCTGAGCTCAGGCAATCTGTACCCACCTTGGCCTCCCAAAGTGCTAGAATTACAGGTGTGAGCCACCATGCCTGGAACAAAAAACTTTTCTCTTAACACTACTTTAGCTGTGTGCCAAAGATTCTGGGGTGTGTTGTCTTCATTTTCATTAGCTTTAAATAATTTTTTAATTTCTGCCTTAATTTTTTTTTTACTCAAAAGTCATTCAGAAGCAGATTGTCTAACTTCCATGTAATTTTTCGGTTTTAATATATCTTAGTGGTATTGATTTCTATTTATATCACAATGTAGTCCAAGAGTATGGTTGTTATAATTTTGATTTTTTTGAATTTGTTGAGACTTGCTTTATGGCCAAGCATGTGGTTCATCGTATATGCCTTATAAGGCATCTTATATGCCTTGCATAGGTGATAAAAATGTATATTCTGTTGTTTGTAGTTGGAGTGTTGTGTAGATATTTATTATGTCTAATTGGTCAAGTGTCAAGTTTAAGCCCAGAGCATCTTAATTCATTTGCTGCTGCAGTGATCTGTCTGATGCTGTCAGTGCAGTGTTGACGTTCTCCAGTATTACTGTATGGTTGTCTAAGTCTCTTAATGGGTCTCTAAGAACCAGTTTTATGAATCTCAGTGCTCCAATGTTGGGTAGGTATATATTTAGGGGAGTTAAGTGTTCTTGTTGGATTAAGCACTTTATTATTATGTAATGCCCTTCTTTGTCCTTTTTCATCATTGCTTAAAATCTGTTTGAATATCATATACAAGAATAGCTACCCCCTGCTCTTTGTTGTTTTCCATTTGCCTGATAGATCTTTGTTCATCACTTTACTTTGAGCCTATGGGTATCATTAACTGTGAGATAGGTCTTTTGAAGACAGTAGACAGTTGATTCTTTCTTTTTTATTCAACTTGCCACTTCATGCCTTTTAAGTGGGGTATTTAGCCTCCTCACATTCAGGGTCAATATTGATATGTGAGGATGTGATCCTGTCATCATGCTGTTAGCTGGTTGTTATGTAGACTCAATTGTATAGTTGCTCTATGGTGTCAATGGGGTATGTGCTTAAGTGTGTTTTCTGATGCAGTTATTGTTCTTTCATTTCCAAGTTTAGCACTGCCTTGAGGAACTCTTGTAAGGCAGGTCTAACGGTAATGAATTCCCTTAGCATTTGCTTGTCTGAAGAGGATTTCATTTCTCCTTCACTTATGAAATTTAGTTTGATGGGATATGCAACTTTTGGTTGAAATTGGCTTTTTTAAAGGATATTGAAAATAGTCCCCCAATCTCTTCCAGCTCATAAGATTTCTTTCTGAAAGATCTGCTGTTAGCCTGATGGGGTTCCCTTAGTTAGGGACCTGCTCCTCTAGCTGCCTTTAAGATTTTTTCTTTTGAATTGACCTTGGAGAATCTGATGACTATGTGTCTTGGGGATGGTCATCTCCCATAGTATCTCCCAGGGTTTATCTGAGTTTTTTGAATTTGACCACAGTTAATAATGTATTGTGTATTTCAAAATTGCTAAAAGTATGTATTTTCAACATTCTCACCACAAAAAAAAAGTTGGTGAGGTGTTGGATATGTTATTAGCTTGATTAAATATCAGTGCAATAGATCTAGATCACTAAAGCTTTTTCCTCAAGTCTAACTAAAAGTTTGTACCTATTAATTAGCATTTCCCTTTTCTTTATCCCTTTCTTTCCCCTTCAGCCTCTGGCAACCACCTCGCTACTCTGTTCCTATGAGATTGACTTTCCTAGATTACATGCACATTGGAGTTCTTAATCAGTATTATAAGACATGAAAAAAGAAAATATTTAATACTTGGAGAGAAGGATACAAATCTGCCACAACTGTGAATACAGAAAATATTAAGAAGTTATAACTGCTATGTGAAGTTTGGAAGGTCACTGGATACAAGATCAGTACATAGAAATCAATTGTATGTCTATGATTCACTAACACCTAGAAAACGATATTTTTTAATGTGATAAACTGAAAGGTTATAGAGAGAATGTTACTATTTACAATTGCCTAAAACTAAGCAAAATATTAGGAAATAAAACTAATAAAATATTTGCCCCACCTCTACAACAGGATTTTTCAATAACATCAGTACAAAACTGTCCCTAGGTGAGAAACACCACTCTATAAAAAATGATGTAACACATCAACAAGAACAATTAAAATAGGACTAAATAAACATAGAGATTTATGATATATATTGGTTGAAAGGTTTAACACTATAAAGTTGCCAGTTCTCCACAAATTATTTATAACTTTAATGTAATCTCAATAAAATTTCCACCTGTCTTCCTTTGTGGAAGTTTAATAGGTTGGTTTTAAAATTTATATGATTTGCAAAGGAGAGTAATTCAGAAAACAGAAGAAGAATTTGGTCTGTTGTCTTACTCCTCTGACAAAATGAGGAAAGATCCAATTTCCATTGGCACCCACAGTTTGTCAAAACACGTTTACTTTTGTTTGTCTGCTGACAGTCCCCATCCTGATTTGTGTGATGAGAAACTACTTTTTTTTCTGGAGACTCTTTACTTGCTTCACCATTTTGTCTAGGGAGGGTGGGTAGCTGCATTGAAGCTTCTGTGAGGATTACCTATGATTTTAGTGTCTATTCTTTAAGCAAAGACCTACCTGATCCTATGGACAAAAGAACCTCTCATAGTTCTACCTTTGAACAAAATAATTAGTAATTGAATTTAAACTCTTGTATCTCAGTAAAACTTACTAAGTTGTCTCTATTTCTAAGAATCCAACTGGTAATATATAAAACCCACAAAAATCCTGGCCTTCTATCTTTTATTTATAGCTGGGTGGCTTTTTCCTATTCTCAGGAATGCCTATCCCGTTATTTCCTATTTCATTAAACTTCCAACCTCAATTTAAGATCAATCGCTGAGAAGCTCTCTCAGCCTTCTCATTCTGAATTGAGTTTTTCTCATCTGTGAACTTTATGATCCTATTTATTTATCACCTTGGCACATTATATTGTAATCTCTGTATTACAGGAATTTTAAATTCAATTCATCTGTTTGGCTAAACTGCAGAAACAAATAGACCTCATTGTCTCAAAAACAATACAATTTCTCAAAAATAATAGAGGTTTATTGATCACTCAAGGAACATTACAAGGAAAGTACATCTCATTCTCATGCATCTTATCCTTGAACTAAGGCATCTCCTATTCCCTATAGGGCTGCATTGTCACTTGCATTCTGTGGCAGAAGGAGAAAGAACAAGGAATATGCATGGGAGGATTTTTTTGCCAGGCCTGGAAATGGCACACATCACTCAGGCTATATATGCTTAGATAGAACTCAGTCACATGTCCCAATTAACTACAAAGGAGGTTGGGAATTGTAGGCTAGCTGTGTGGCCGAAATCAAAGCCTCTACCATATGTTCAAACAAATTGTGTTTTCTGACACCTCTTCCTTTACCTGTAGTCCCAGTTTCTTTTATTATGTCCTCCTTGATTCATTCTCTAAAACTATAAAATGTAGTCTTCCATATGCAAATGGAGTCTAAGGAAGATGACTTAGCTCTTTGTTAGTACTCTCTCTGCAATCTGCAAATGTTCCCTCTCCCCACTAACTGGCTTGTTTTGCTTTTTATTGTTTTTATTGTTTTTGTTTTAAACCACTGCTTTGGACTAGATCATACCTATCTCTTACATAATCTATTTTGAAAGTCAAATAACTCATTTTACTGCCATACAGTACTGCTTTATTGAAAACACTCTTTGCAATCTTAGAAAGGAGAGATCAAAATCTACAAATATGATATTAACATACTCTTGACTGATTCCCCATTATGAGTCAGGTTTGTATGGCTCCCCATTTCCTAGGGATTAAAAGGGAATTTCAATTGGGTGTTCAATGCCTTTTTTTGTATGAATCTACTATCTTCCAACAGCTTTGCTCTTCTCTTTACCCCACCAGACTTCAGACACAGAATGCTATTTCCTGCCCCTTGAATAAAACATGCAATTTTAGGTCTTGGATTCTTTCCTCCCTCTGCCAAAAATATCCTTCTCTCCCTCACCCTTCCCTCATTTTCCCTCTCTGCCTTTTTGAAGTAACTATCCTTTAAGGCATAACTCAAATGTCATATCCTTTGCAAAGCTTCTCTTTCTTAATACCATAATCCTAATTAATCAATCACTTTTTCCTTTTTGCTGCCACAAGAAATGTTTATAGTTTTCCTACAGCATTTATCATTGTGTACTTGCATTGCAGTTGTTTGTGCATGTGTCTTTTTCCCTTCATCCAGGTTAAACTGAGATTCTTTATAGTAGTTACAGTCTCTTACCTTTTCTGTTTCTCCAGTGGGTGTATACAAATTACATATTAGTGGGACTGAATTTTAGTAGTCCTGAGACCTGTTTATAAATGTTTGATATGAAGACAAAAACAACACAGAATGAAAAATATTGCGTGATCATTATATGTGAAGTGTGTGTGAGTGTGTATAAGAGAGTTCAAACATACAGATATAGAGAATGAAACAGTTGTTACTATGGGCTTGGGGTAAGGAGGTAAGGAAATGGGGAGATACAGGTTAATGGATACAAAATAATATGTAGAGTGAATGAATTTAGAGGTATAATGTACAACAAAATGACTAATGTTAATAAAATTATATTTATTAGGGATTGTGGTTAAATAAGTAGATTGTAGCTGTTCTTGTCACAAATAAAGTAACTATGTGAGCTGATAGATATGCTAATCTACTTTATTATAGCAACCCTTTTATTACCTATATGAATCCCATAATATCATGTTATAAGTGTCGCATATACACAACAACATTTATTTTTTTTTTAAAAAAAAAGCCCATAGAAATAAAACCATTGTGTGTGAATTCTTAATTTTTAGAGAAGAAGAGCTTGGAAATAGCTTTCAAAAATTAAGAGAATATCCTGTAAAGAAATATAACAAATCCAGGAATCAGAAAACAAAATTTAATATACACTAAATGTAACTACCTAAGTAAATCTTTGGAATAGCATTAACTGTTGTAAATGGAGATTGTTTATATTTTGAAACAAAGTCATATGACCTAAGTCACAAAGACTTTTACTAAGAAGACACAATAAGTATTTTAAAAATCTGTGTAGATATACTTCAGGGTATGAGTGATCTATATATAAGGAATATATTTTCTATGGGTATGAAGGAGAAAAAAAACTACTAGAAAATATACGGATGAATACTAGTTTTCCTTTAAAGAGCTTATGCAAGAAAGACAGTTAAGGCAGTTTATCAGTGACTGACAAGTAATACGTAAGTCAGAGGAATTTTGTAGATGACAGAATTAGAGGTCAGGACAACTTTTGTGTAATGTAGAATGCCAACTGTTGCTTTTCCCCAGACCGTCTTGGGCTCTACACAGAGTCAGACTAATTAGTCCCTGTCTTACTCAAGGAGTATATATAAGGAGTTCCAACCTTACCAGCTAGGTATAGGATACATTTTATTGCCAAATATCTGAGTTGTCCAGTATCTATGATGTGACCCTTGAACATTCGCTTGGCCTTGAGAGTCCCAAACTTGCATGGCCCTCTGCCCCACACCTTGGAGCAGAGGACTGAGGCTCTGCCTCAGCAGCTCTGCCTGGCACTACAGTTGCTCGTCGTCGTAGTTGAAGCCTTACCTAGAACTTTGGCTTTATTTTTTGCAGATGTGATACTCTAACAATGTCTGAAGCTCTGTCACTTGGGTGCTGAATCCTTTTCTATACTTTCTCAATACTGGTCAGGATTTTACGGTGGTAAGTTTGTTACCTTAAGCCCAATTTTATCTGTCATTGGCTTCCTACACTCCGTGGTTTTGGACCAGATTTTAGTTCAGATCTCAAATTCTGACTTGACCAAATCAGAGAAGACTTTGTGAACTTTGCATGGCTTGATTATCTCTTCTAATCTACTTTTCTAAAGGGCTAATTCTACAAATAGATCTGTTTCCCCGGCTTTCTCTTTTATATTACTTGCCTGCCTCTTCTCCAGTTGAGAGGATATTGGTGTGTCTGATTCCTTTTTGGCATTAGTTACTACAGGACAATATGGTTTCTGTTTGCAGCAATCACTGTCCCATGTGCAAGTTGATAATTAGTCCCTTGATTCCTCTGGGTCAGTGACCCAAGTGCTTTAGTTTGTGCATCATTAAACTATGTTTTCTGAGTTTCTATACATGTAGAGATATTTACTAGTTTTCACTCCTATTTCTGTAGCATTGATGAGCTTGTTTGTTATCCCCTGATAATGTATCATGTCTTATTGAGCTTGCAGATGCTTTGTTTTCTCTTCCTCTTCCCTTCTTCTCATAGTCAGGGTAAAGGTACCAAGATAGCTGGCATAAAGGAAATATCACAGTAGTTAAATAGGTGGATTATGAAGTTTTGTCATTGAATCACATTTCAAACATTAACTGTTTTTTATTTTTTGGTGGGGTGGGGGGCAAATCGTATCTACCCTCTTTAGATCTCTTAGATTTCTTATCTGTCAAATGAGGAAAATAATATATTTAATTTTGATGTAAGAATTTTAAGACAGAAATAAAGTGAAAGGCTTATAATACTTGGCGTATATTAAAGTCTTTGTAGATATTAACTATGATTATGGTAAGCATTTAAAATGTTTGTTAAATAAATAACTGAAACAAAATAAGAAATCATTAGAGTAGAAAAACAATTCAAGGGAAATCTTGGTCTCAGGAATACAAACAAAGAGTTAAGACTATCTGTCCACATAAAATTCAGGAAGATCTTTTGATATAATGATAGTTGAGAGTTAGAAAGTAGTTATGAGAATAACATTGTTTGTTTCTGTTAGCAAGACATAAGAAATATAACTCTAGCCAAATCTAGAAAGTATCAGTAGTGTAAAATATAGTAATAATTGGTCACTAAAGATAATAAATTATACAAGTACACTATACTCAAGATCAGCCTTCTTACTATCACTTTCTGTGCTGATGAAAATGTTCTTGGTCTCCAAGGTCTGTAATGATAGCCACCAGTCATCTGTGAGAATTGAGTATTTGAATTGTGGCCAGCGACATTAAAGATATTTTAATTTTAGATTTTAATTAGCTAGTTGCGACTCTATTAGTCCAGAGTCACATTCCTGTACAGAAAGTGTATCCATGCACCAACCAACAGCATCGATGTCATCTGGGAGTTTGTTAAAAGTGCACAAAAGAACTTTGGGGAGCAATGAAACCTGAAGACAGAAGGAATTTGAGTTCCTGAATGATCTCACTAAGCAGAGCCGCCTACCTACTCTGGATTATATGTCACTTTCAAGGGAGAAATAAATTTATTTCCTCTGTCTAATCTTCCCCTCCCTTTCCCTCCCCTCCCCTTCCCCTCCCCACCCCTCCCCTCCTCTCCCTTCCCTCCCCTTGCCTCCTGTCCCCTCCTTCCCCTGTCCTTCCTTCCTTCCTTCTTTCCTTCCTTCCTTCCTTCCTTCTCTTTCTTTTTTCACATACTTCTCTTTTTTTGTTCTTTTATGTCTTTTTCATTATGGCAGCTTAGCCATGCTCTGTGTGGTAAAGAGCAGAAAGTAGGGAGCAGTAAAAAGTTGATGTGCCTCATTTCCCCAACTGGATAACTAACCGATTTAAAAATAGTGTAGAATCTTTTAATATAAAATTCAGTTAAAACAACAAAAACATGGTTTTTGAAAGAAGAACCATAACTTGGGTATATTTTGCTATTTTAGAATAGGGTCAATAGATATATGATAAAAGAGATATATTAATTTATGTTTTGCTTACTTTTTTTGACAAATGCTGAAAAACATTTACATTAAAAGACTAAGAATTTTGAATTATCATGCAATTAAGATAACCTTTCATTGATGATCTAGGAATGAATAGTGTCTAAATATCCAATGGTTTATTTTTTGTCTTCACTTCTCTGGTCCTCTATACTTAATGTTCCATTGACAGGTATAGGCTGATTATTTTCAGATGATTTGAAAAGCTTAACTGTATCCATGACAACTACCATTAACACTGGTAGATTCCATCCTGTTTACAAATGAAATTCCCTAATTTTTACTGTAGACGTGAATAACATTCCCCAAACAAAGTGCTCTCCTCTTGGATCTCCACTAATCATTCTTAAGCCCAATCTTTCTTTGTTTCCCCCTTTACAATTATCTTTCTATCATGCCTTTTGGAAATTCTTATCAAGCTCTTCATTTAAGTAATTGATACCCATATTCTGTTGATCTGTGGATATTAGGACAGATTAAAACTTCTCTTGGGTAAAATAATATTCCTGGCCAGGCGCGGGGCTCATGCCTGTAATCCCAGCACTTTGGGAGGCCAAGGCGGGTGGATCACGAGGTCAGGAGTTCGAGACCAGCTTGGCCAACATGGTGAAACCCCATCTCTACTAAAGACACAAAAAATTAGCTGGGCATGGTGGCATGCCTTTAATCTCAGCTACGCAGGAGGCTGAGGCAGGAGAATCTCTTCAACCCGGAAGGGAGAGGTTGCAGTGAGCTGAGATCGTGCTATTGCACCCCAGCCTGGGCAACAGGGTGAGAATCTGTGTCAAATAATAATAATAATATTCCCAGGATGATCTCCTACGACCCAGTTATTTTATTGCATTCTTAAGCATATTAATATAATAAAAGAGTTTCTTTTTCAAAAGTTTATGATCACTTTACCCAAATTCTATATTTCCTTAAAATCTCTTTTATAAATGGTTAATACATTAATAGAACAGTTTTTAGAAATTCATCAAAATGTGTAGTTAACAAATTGCTTCAGTTCTGTCGTGACTTAGCAGCAGAGAAAGCTTCCACTTGTCACTGATAATTCAATCTGATTTATCACAAGAGCATATTGTTGATATTTGGATTATATAAATAGAATTGAAAATATTAGGGTTATAATACCTATTTGGCTCATATTTCTCTATTTCATTTATTTCTTTTATTAAGTCATTTTTTCTTCTAGGCTGCTTCATTTTTTGTTTGTTTGTTTTTGTTTCTTTGTTTCTTTTCTTTTCTTTTCTTTTCTTTTTTTTTTTTTTTTGAGACAGAGTCTCGCTCCTTCACCCAGGTTGGAGTGCAGTGGTATGATCTTGGCTTACTGCAACCTCCGCCTCCCAGGTTCCAGTGATGCTCCTGCATCAGCTTCTTGAGTAGCTGGGATTCCAGGTGCCCGCCACCATGCCCGGCTAATTTTTGTATTTTTAGTAGAGATGGGGTTTCACCATCTTTTCCAGGCTGGTCTTGAACACCTGACCTCAGATGATCCACCTGCCTCAGCCTCCCAAAGTTCTGGGATTACAGGTGTGAGCCACTGTGCCCAGCCTGCTGCTTCATTTTTTTAAGCAAGATAATATCTTATTTTTACTTTTCAATCATTTATAAACTTTTCAGATCTCAATTTGTTAATTAAAAGAGAATTTTTAAAAGCTTCTTTTGGTGGTCATGTAATTGTTGTTTATTTTGTGTAGAAAATAATTATTTTTAAACTATTGAAAAAAGCATTAGGTTCCTGAGCATATGAAACAGAAGGAAATGGGTAAAGAAATGATTAACTCGGGGACATAGATAAATTTCTGAAAACTATTTCTTAAAAAAAAACAGTAGTTGCGGAGAATACAGAATTGAATTTGCATACTGGTCCCTTTGCATACTCGGGTAGCATTTATTTTGGAATATTTTGAAGAAAAACATCAGGTTGATTAGTGAGAGAGTATTCATTCTGACCTAAAACAACAACAACAAAAACATGTGGAAGAAGTAATTATTAGAGTTATTAGGGTTACTAGAGAAGCTAAACTACCTGCAACTATATATTTTAAATTTTGTTTTGTTTTGTTTTGTTCTGCCTTATATTTGTAGAGTCTACATTTGTTTTGAATCTATAGAAGAGGGAGTCACTTTATTTGTGCTGGTGTCCAACACTTAGAATTGCTTCAGAGGAAAAAACAGCTACTTTGCATGCTACTTTAAATTGATCATCACTTAATCTTCACAACCATTCTATGAAGTAAATATTATTATCATTAATTTAGTGATTAGAAAACTGAGACTTAGAGAAATTTAGAAAACCAACCAAATTCATAAAATTAACACATTCTGCTGTCAGGACTCAAATTCAAGTCTCCACATATTCATGCCTTTCGTTAATGTTGATGTTACCATGTAGCTGTGTGTAATATGGTTTAATACTACAAAGTTCTCTCATAGATTTATCTGACACATCATTTACATAGGTGATACTACTGAGGTTAAGAGAGTTTGTGACTTTCCTAAGCAACACTCAGTGAAGTAGAATTCAAATCTGTCTCAATTTCTTTGGCTTCAGCCTGAATATTGACAGAATATAAATAACAAATTCCTTTGGTTTGTGGATCTCTATAATTCCCAAATATTAAATTTTCTATTCTGTTCCTTACTAACTTTCTTTTTTCTTTAGTTGTCTAGGAGAGAGCAACCATGATGGGCATGCAATGCTCAAGTTCACAGAAGTGAGTATTTCAGAGAGGGTGTGAGATATGACCAAATGTTGATGCTGCTTCACCTCTACTTCAGATAATGCTACTGTGCTACTTTTTAGACATCTTATTCTACACTTACAAGTGCGATACAATGATATTACAAGAATGTGCTAAAACAGTTATTAAGTAGAGATAATAATTATCAGGAGTGCCATGTACAAATAGAAAACAATTTTGGTAGTGTTTAGACTGAAGGCAAACATTGGGGATCCCTGCTTGATGGGAAATTAAAAGTAACAACAGTTATATTGCTATATTGATATCATATTTTTATATCATATATTAACACATTTTTATAATTTCATATCACCTAAATGTTTTATTTTCTATAAAACCTTTGAAACATGCTTAATTACACACAGTAATTGAACTTTGAAATAATAGTGATACTGAGACACTATCTGAATTTTGATCTTGAACTTTTCAAGCAAGACTTTATTTTAAAAAGCTCGTATTTAAAACTTCACTAGCTTGTTAATCTAAGAAAAGACCATTCACAGGAGGCTACCAAAGTAGCTACTGCCTTTTCAAAGTCCCAAATCCTTTAAACCTCTTTTCGCCTTCATTTTAGAAACATGAATAGCAAGACTCAAATCTGGCTGCCAGATTTCTGCAAGGTATTTTTCTCTCCAAACGAGGTAATGTGTTTCTTATAACAGTCTTTATAATAAGGAGATGTGTGTGGAAAAAAATCAAGTGTTAAACGGAGTCATGCAAATTAGCCATCTGGATAAAACAATGTTGTCTTGCCTAATATTTAGTTCACTGGATTCATAGTCTTATAAAGAATCTCATTTTTTTAGCCTTTGCAGTATTCCAGCATATTTGACCAATCCTTATAGTTCCTCAAATAGACAGTTCCCTTGAGAACTTAAGAACTCTGCTGATAAAAGCTGTGAGAAAGGATGATATTATATAAACAAACAAATTTTGTGATTTGATGGGTAGGCAGATTATGCACAGCAGAGGCCAGAGAGCTTCTACAATTTAAGGAGGAATCATGGCATTCTTCCTCCCATTGTTTGCTGGAGGCTTGTCTATCTACTTGTCTGAGGATGTTACTCCAAATGTTAAAAAAGAAAAAAAAAGATAAGAAAGGAGGAGAGAGAAGAGAGGAAAGGTGAGGAAAAACAGAGAAAGGCAAATAAAAATTGATGCATTCTTATCAGTTTACAAATAATGTTTGAGATGTTTATTCTGATGTTTATGACCTTCACTGTTCTAACTCTATTTAGTGTTCTAATTTGTGTTGCAACAATTTCTGTTCATTTGTCTTCTGTTCCAATTGAATGGAACTTGCCACTACTCCCACAGATGTCCTATGCGTTCCTCCCTAGGTGCCTTTTCTCATGAGTGTAACTTTTTCATATCTATTCCCTCTCCCTAGCAACCAATTCCTATTTTTTTCAGATGAGTTTATTGAGGCATGATTTATAAATTAGAAAATATACTCAAGTGAAAGTTTCAATGAGTTTTGACAAATTATCATTATATTTGAAATATAAAATATATACACAAAAATTTATTCATGATCCTTACAGTGAAATCTGCCTTCATTCCCCTGCACATTTACAAACACCCTGAACACAAGGCAAAAACCAATCTGCTTTCTGACATTATAGATTAGTTTTGCCCTTTCTAGAATTCCACATAAACAGATCCACGAGCAAATAAACTTCCATTGTTTGAGCCAAAAAAAAAAAAATTATTCTTCTATATGTGGTTTCTGTTCCTCAGTATAATGGTTTTTTGAGATTTATCATGTAGCTGCATTTATCAGTACTTCATTCATATTTATTGGTAAATAATAAACCATTATCTAGATATTACCAAAAATGTATTTATCTGCCCACATATTGCTAGATATTTGTTTCCAGTTTTTGATTATATGAATACAGCTTCTATGAACATGCATGTTGAAGCTGTGTGAATATGTGCCTTTTATTTCTCTTTAGTAAATGCATAGATATAGGATTGATGAGTCATATGATAAGTATATGTTTAGTTTTTTGAGAAACTGAAATAAGCTGTTTCCCCAAGAGGTTGTACCACTTAAAATCCCACCAGAAATTTATAAGACTGCTACACATATTCGCCAGCACATGATATTGTACGTCTTTCTGATTTAACTGTTGTAATGGATGCATAATGGCATATCATTGTGGATTTTATACGTATTTTCCTGATGACTAATAGTGCTGAGCCGTATTTCAGGATTTTTTTAAAACAATTTATGTATTGTGTCTGTACGAATCATTTGTGCATTTTTTTCAGGGTCATTTGTTTTCCCATTTTAAATTTTAGTTTCTTTTAATGGATTTGTAAGAATCATTTCATCTATAAGTAAAAATAGTTTTTTTTTGCTTCATTTTCTATCCACAGGCTATATATTGATTCTCTAGTATTATTCCACTGACTAGGTCCTTCTATATGTTGAGTAGGCATGTTGAAAATGTTGAATAGGTGTGTTGAAAATGCATATATTTAGTTTTCCTTTGATCCTGGGTGAAAGCATTTAGTTTGTCATCATTAAGTTTAATGTTAAGTTGTTTTCCATGAGTTACTGTTTTGTGCTTGTTGTTTATCATCAGTAAGTGTTACATTTTGACAAAGCATATTCTGCATCTGTTGAAATAACTGTACGGTTTTGTTTTTTTCATCTATTAGTACTGTGAATTACACTAATTGTTTTTAATGTTAAACTACACTTGCACTACTAGAATTGTTCATTTGTCAAATATCTTTGAACTGTACACTTGGTCAGGTGGTATTAATTTTTTTTTGTCTTTGGATTCCATTTGTTAAAATTTTCGTAAGGATTTTTGTTTCTATATTCATGAGAGATATTGATCTGTACTTTAATTTTAATGTCTTTGTCTCAATGTTTTATCATAGTAATGCTAGCTTCATAAAATTCATTGGAAAATACTCCCTCCCCTTCTAGTTGTTGCAACAATATGCATGGAATTTATATTATTTCATTTTCTTTTTTTTTTATACAATTAACCATTAGAGCCACATTGGTCTAGACTTTTCTTTGTGGAAAGTATTAAACTACAGACTCAGTTAACTTAAATAACATGAATTATTTAAGATATCTTCTATTCTAATGTGTTGTATTAGTTTTGGATTTGTTCATTGTATTTATGTTGAATTTATTCACAGTAAATTGTTTGTAATGGGCTCTTGTTTTGGTGTTAATATTCATTGTAGAATCTTTTTTTTCTGAACTGTCTGTCTAGGAGTTTATCAATTTTTCTGCTCTTTCAAAATAAGCTTTGGGGCACATTCATTTTCCTATTTTTATTTCAGTAGAATCTGTTCTTTCTAAAATTATTATTCCATTCCTTCTGCTTATTTTTAGCTTAATTTGCTCTAATTTTTTCAAACCGTATTTTAAGATGGAAGTTTAAATAATTAATTTTAGGATTTCTTCCCCTTGTAAAGCCATAAATATTCTTCTAGACACTGCTTAAAATTGAATATGTTGCATTTTAATTTTCATTTAGTTCAATATGTTTTCTAATTTTACTTGTAATTTCTCCTTTGACTCATAAGTTATGGGAAACAGTGAGACCAGAACAAGTATTATTTGAAAATCTGAGTAATGGGATAGGAAACCAAGGAAATGTGGTCTGAGTTTGTATATTTATAAGGGCGGTAATCCTTCTTTAGGAAACTGCATTAAGAACTCCTGATTAAAATTACTATTTTTACTCATTGTAAATTTTACACATATTTATTGGAGGTCTTCTTTGTGTCAGGATTTTTACTAGATCCTGGGACCACAAGATAAATAAGACAGAGAACCCTTACTGTCAAGGTGATTTTGGTCTAGGAGGGGAAATGGCAAAATATTCATATAATGCTGTGCAATATAAATATTTGTATTTTCAAATATTCTGGTAGCGATGTTAAGTAAAAAAAGTAAAATGAATTTTAATATATTTGATTTAACTATATATATATATCTAAAATATCATTTCAACATGCAGTCAATGTAAAATTATAAATGATGTATTTTGCTGCTTAGTTACTAAGTCTTCAAATATCCAGGATTCATCTGACAAATATAGCATATCTTAATTCAGACTGGTCACTTTTCAAGTACTCAGTACTCACATATGGCTGATGCAACTGTATTAAAACTCACAGTATTCTTGAAATATACAAAAATTGCCAATTTAGTCCTCTCAGGAATGTGTCTTTATTACATTGGATAAACTTCATGTCAGAGAAATTTAAGTAACTGATCCATGATGTTTCAGCAAATAAGTAAAAGAGAGGTGATGGGAACCAAACGTATTCTGTGTCATTTTCATGACTCTTGCTATATGTATAGTATCTAGTTTCCTTGATTCCTATCTCCTATTAACTCCTGACTTCTCCTAATCATCATTTTAAGTCATATAATCAAAAATGATGTGCTCAAGCATCACTGGGTCCGAAAGTTGAAGCAAAGTGCTCTTACTGATGTGAATAAAGGCTAAGGACAGGAATGTAATTTTCTCTCTCTCTCTCTCTCTCTCTCTCTCTCTCTCTCTCTCTCTCCCTTTGTAAGAGATAGGATCTCAGTATGTTGCCTAGGCTGGAGTGCAGAGGCTATTCACAGGCATGGTCATAGCGCACTGCAGCATGGAACTTCTGGCTTCAACCTCCCACCTCAGCTTCTAGAGTAGCTGGGACTACACGTGCGGCTGCCCAGCTACATATACATATATGTGTATATGTGTGTGTGTGTGTGTGTATATACACACATATATATGATATATATGTATATACACACACACATATATATATACATATATATGATGCTATGATGCTTCTCTTTACAATGCTGGTTAGTCAAGTTTATATTCTTTATATTTTCTTACATCTTAAAAGAAGTGTAAAAGTGTATTCAAAGGTGAAGTACTGTTTTCTGGCAGTCCTAATCCTTACTCTATTTCCTGCTTAGAGTTTTAAAGAATAGTTGGGAGAATTCTACTTGGATAATAAGCAATAATGGGTTATATTTGGTTAAAATGATTAAAGTGGGCTTTCCTGTAAATAATCAGATAAAAAAAGCTTTCTTTTTATTTATTGACCAAGAAACTGGGACTAGTTGACGGACTTAAGGGCCTTGTACCCAAGCAACAATATGTCAAAATGTTACTAGTATGGTCTAGGCTTATTTATAAGCCACTAAATCTATGTCATATTTTTGAGATTAAATTTCTTGTGTCCAAAGAAGTTTTTGCATATGTATGGGTGAGAAATCTGCAAAAACCCATGTTAAGAATTAACTGACTTGTTGGAAAAATTTAGACTCATTAATCCATTCACTCACTGACACATACATACATATTTATTAGATATGAGTGACTTGAGTGCTGGAATTGCTTTACTGAAGCCACAAGAGTTCTGGTTTCTAACATTATGTCTAATTAGATGTCTAAACTTAGACAAATCTTTTAACCTATCAGTGCTGTCTTCAGTTAGTATAGTCTGAAAACTTATGAGCCTATGTATGGCTCATGTCCATTGAGCGTTTAAGAGTGAGACAAGGCCTTGTTTCCATTGCAGTCCAATCAGATATATAGGCAAAAGTACTTGATTCATCACAAGAATTCTATGAAGAGCTTTGATCCCTAAATTTCTGCTTATCAGCTCCTAAATCTTGCCATATTTTTAGACAATATCTGATTGTTGGTATTGTTTTTTAATTCAAAAAACATATTGAAAAATATTTTAAAACAGCTAAAATAGAGCGGTTTGCCACATTCTTAGAAAGAAGGAATTAAATATAATTATAAATATATATGTTATATATTATATATAAAAATTTTAACCTCATTGACATATAGTTTTGGTAGAATTCCAGCCAACTTCTCAGCATTTTGAAACAGCTAGACACTGACTTGCATCAGGAATGATGATTTCAATGCTGGATTGGAGGCATCGGCTAGCATGCCTCACCCACCTGAAAAGACAAAATAGTGTGTAGAAATTCATGCTGCGAACTATTTTCCAAGAGGCAACATAGGAACTTAACAGGAACACACTGAAATAAACCACAGACCCTTTGAAAGAAGAGGTGGGCTGTAGCCTACACTATGAGCCAGGCAGAAAACTGTGAGTCTCCAGAGTGTGAGGGGAGAGAGACTGCCTCTGTGACACACGCTCCCTCTGGGAGACCTGGTAATCCAGACCACAGGGGAATGTCTTAATCCTTGCCATCACTCGAGCTGATTTAGTGAGTGGTGGGGAGCAGATGAGAAGGAGTGGCATGGGGATGTGCTTTGTGTACACTCCCAGACTCCAGTGGGGATGGAGGAAAGCCATTACTGGTCCTATCTCACAGAGGACCTTGCAGAAGTCCACCAGTTAACTCGGGTGATGGTCACAGAGTGAGGGAAGCTTCCAATTAGGATATGTGATATAATATTGAGTGGAGACAAACTCCCTTGGCCAGAACTGAGAGGTGAGTGGGAAGTGTGCTGTAGCCATGGGTGCAGGAGCTGGATGCTCCTGCATCATGGGCAAAGGGGAGGGGTGTGCTTTCAAATCTATGGTTTCAATCTCAGCAGGGAAGGCTTGTGGCCTGGGGCAGTTTTGAGTTCTCAGTGCAGGCTGCTTAAAACCCAGCAAGCTGCTGCTAGTGGAACTCTACAAATGTGAGACCTACCTTGACAAATGCACGGGAGCTGGGTAGGGCTTACTACCACCTGCTACCCACCACTTCCCATGTGGATTCTTCTGTGCAGCAAAGGCAGCTGTGCTCCTTTCTGGAAAGTCTCCCTAGTGCCCAGAGAACTGCTCTCCAGTCTCCATTGGGTCTGATGCTTGTGCCTGCATGTAAGGAGCAAGAGTGCAGATTTGCCTAAGCCCCCACCTGGCTTTGCTCTTCCACCTGCCCTGGTAGCTTAACACAAAGGACAGGGACTTTTGGCGGCTCCCTGGCCCTGTTCATTGCCTGAGATACCAAGGTACCTTCTTCGGGTAACATAAGGCCTATCCATTTGCAAGTAAAAAAGTATGCTTGGAGATAAATGAATTTGCCAATGTGAAGAGATTGGCAACTTACAAGAAGCGAAGTGCCTCTTTTTGGTTAGGGCAGAGAGAGCTTCTATGGTGGAGTGATGGTAGTAACCCTGGGTTTCTCCCAAGTGGAGTGTATGGTGATCAAGTATTCACTTTTTCATTGAGCTGAACCAGAGAAGGGAATGCTCCTTAGTTAAAGCTATCCTTAATAATCAAGGCTCCCAATTAATTATACTTCCCTGTTTCTACTTACTTCATTGCCTACAAATTAAAAAAAATTATTCCTAGTAAATATCTTCTCTGCGTGAAATATTGTTCTTGGATCTGAGGCTTCGACAGTGGACAAAATAGTATTTTCTTTGTCTTATGGAGCTTATATTTAAGTCAGGGAGACAGATACTAAAAATTAGGAGAAAAATTAGGTACATATTTAAGTTAGTAATAAGAAGTAACATTTAATAACAGGCAAAGGGAAAGAGAGTGATGGATAAAGTGTTACTTTAACAAAGGTCATGAGGCAGGAGTCTCTGGTGGGATGACATCTGAGGAGAGGCCCGAGTGAAGTGAGGGGTGAGAGGCACTGACATCTGGGAAAGAGAGCTCCAGGGAGAGAGAATGAACTTGTATGGATACTTTTGCTCACACTATTGTCTATGCCAGGAGGGTTTGTCTATTTTCTCTGCCTACCAGTATCTTAT
Organism: Homo sapiens; assembly: GCF_000001405.40. Taxonomy (NCBI): domain Eukaryota; kingdom Metazoa; phylum Chordata; class Mammalia; order Primates; family Hominidae; genus Homo; species Homo sapiens. Next base: position 89,548,840 of record NC_000007.14, on the reverse strand, counting down.
TTATCTTCGAAAGTCAAGATTGAATATTCTTTCCTCTTTGGACCATTTCCATTTCAAAGAATCAGTAAGATCTTTTGTCACATTCCAGGCTAATAGAACCTTTTGTTCATATGCTAGAATAGCACTTGTTTAATTGCCAAATAATTATTAAAGTATGTGCTTGTGGTTGAGGACACAAATAGGAATACTTGCCTTCCAGAAGCCAGTGAAATTACATACACTTCCCTCAAGGAACACCCTGAATTTTAATTTTCTGTGCTCCTTATCACTCCTTTATTAGACTAAAAGTAACCTGAGGAGAGAGACTAGGTCTTATTCATGTTGATATTACTACATAAGTGTAGCATGTCCTATGTGTTGCAAAATGGCATATAGCCTATAAATATTGTGTGTAATATTAATAAAGAGTAATGCCAACATTCATTTAGTAGTGTCAAGGAGTTGCACATCAGGATATAATTTTAGCTATGACTCTAATTGAAAAGTGGTTTTTCCTGCTTAAGGAAATAAGATAACATTCTCTCTTTGTAGCAAAGAAGCAATACTAGGCTGAAGAAATTTAATTCTGGCATGACAGAGATCATGTATAAGACAGTTAGCTCTTAAGGCCTAGTGTGCAGGAAGCATTCTGAAGAGCATGCTGAGGCTATCAAAGCTGCTATGGAAATAAATTGAAAATGCTGTTCTTAAAGTCAGCTTTAAACAACTGCAAAAGTGAAGACCAAGAATATGAATGTGATTACAGAAAGAGCCAAATCCAATGCAGATCATTGTAGAACAAGCTTTAAAGAGAAAGACCTGTAGCAAGGCTGCTACTTTTAACAATGCAGGCTGTGCTTGCTGCACAACACCAGGAGACATCACTACATGCACCACTATGCAAATGGTGCATTCTGGAGGTGTGCAAGGTGACAGCTACTAAGCTACTAATTCCCTTTCTCCAACAAAACCCAAAGCCTCAGAACCCAGAGTAGAAAGTGACTGGTTCCTTTGTCACCCAGGCTAAATGTTTCCTCTCTTTCATTTTTCAGTACAATTTGTAACTGGTATTAGAATATTATTCTTCATTCAAATAGATACATCTTAAAGTGCAAAATTCTTTTCTCAGTGTGCTTAATAAAAATATCCACAATTTTTACATTTTTACTAAACATTACATTAAAGATTCCCTATAATATAATCAATTGCTTCTTGAATAGAAAGAACAATTTTTTACTACGCAAAAGATTTTGATGCCATAGTAGTTAAAACAAAGTTAAAAATAAATTCCTGACAGAATCCCATTTCAACAAAGTTTCTTTCTGTCTTTCGTGCTGCATATTATAGGCATTCAAGAATATTTGGAAATCACTGGGTTTCATAACAGTTATAGGTGGCTTGTGGCCCCTAAAATCAGCTTGTGTGCCATCTTTGATGATACACACTAGGCTTGCCATTATCAGGACCTGCTTGCGCCTCTTATCTCAGGTTCAACCAAACATGGCCCTTTTACCACACTCAAGTCAGACAAGCTGGAAATTGATTCTTGCCTTCATAGAAAATGTCCTAAAATGAAGCATAGATTTGGAACAGTGCCAGCAGGGTAAACTTTCCTGTTGTTCATGTTTACTTGTTTCTGTGGCCCACTCTCTCAGTCTATTTCTGCTCCTTTCATTGCTGGGTCCTGATTTCTGCTGGCTTTCTTCCTAGACCTTTGAGATTCACATGTTCCTACAAGCTCTGCCAAGCTACCATGGGCAGCAGTGACTTCTGGTGTCTTAAGCACGCACTCTTAAACTTCAATTCTGATTCACCTTGGGTACTTGATTCTCAACTCAACTGCTACCATCAACCTCCAGAAGTAAGGACAGTCTTACCTCATCTTTTTTTTTTTTTTTCTATATACTTTAAGTTCTGGGATACATGTGGTGCAAAACATGCAGGTTTGTTACATAGGTATACATGCGCCATGGTGGTTTGCTGCACCCAATAACCCGTCATCTACATTAGGTATTTCTCTAATGCTATCTCTCCCCTAGTCCCCCAAGCCCCGACAGGCCCTGGTGTGTGATATTCCCCTCCCTGTGTCCATGTGTTCTCATTGTTCAACTCCCACTTATGAGTGAGAACATGTGGTGTTTGGTTTTCTGTTCCTGTGTTAGTTTGCTGAGAATGATGGTTTCCAGCTTCATCCATGTCCCTGAAAAGGACGTGAACCTTTCCTTCTTTATGACTGCATAGTATTCCATGGTGTATATTTGCAACATTTTCTTTATCCAGTCTATCAGTGATAGACATTTGGATTGGTTCCAAGTCTTTGCTATTGTAAATAGTGCTGCAATAAACATACATGTGTATGTGTCTTTATAGTAGAATGATTTATAATCCTTTGGGTATATACCCAGTAATGGGATTGCTGGGTCAAATGGTAATTCTGATTCTAGATCTATGAGGAATCACCACACTGTCTTCCACAATGGTTGAACTAATTTACACTCCCACCAACAGTGTAAAAGCGTTCCTATTTCTCCATATCCTCTCCAGCATCTGCTGTTTCCTGAGTTTTTAATGATCGCCATTCTAACTGGCGTGAGATGGTATCTCATTGGGGTTTTGATTTGCATTTCTCTAATGACCAGTGCTGATGAGCTTTTTTTCATATGTTTGTTGGCCACATAAATGTCTTCTTTTGAGAAGAGTCTGTTTATATCCTTTGCCCACTTTTCGATGGGGTTGTTTGTTTGTTTTTTGTAAATTTGTTTAAGTTCTTTGTAGTTTCTGGATATTAGCCCTTTGTCAGATGGATAGATTGCAAAAATTTTCTTCCATTCTGTAGGTTGCCTGTTCACTCTGATGTTAGTTTCTGTAGGGAGACCCCCTGAAACTATTGCTATGGAATAAAAGATGAAATGCTCCTGATTATTGTAAATACAAAATTGCATGCAGGATTGTGTAAAGACAATGCCAGGTTGGACTGCCAGAATGAGCCAACAGTGCGTGATGTGCTTCCCCCTGTAGAGAGCCTGTGAATGGACGTGCAGTCAGGGAGGTTTCACATCACCAAGATTCCTATCCCAGAAAAGCAGATGTTCATAGCTCTGGGAATGGAATGTGACCCTTGTGGAAAGCCTATAAACGAATGCATGGGGAGCACCTGTCCATATGGATGAGATAAGGCTATAAACGCCCTCATCTTGCCACGGCTCTTCTAGGCCTCTTTAGGGTTAAGGCATACTCCCTTCTGAGAATTGCTGGTCTAACCGGTTGTCTAGCTTCAAGTCCTGTTTCTATGGATTGTTTGTAACCAGCTTTTGCTGCAACTGTTACTGCTGATTAAAATCTTGCTAATCATAGGTAAAGGAAAGACTGTGTTTCTGTTTTAAGGCTCTGTTAGAAATTACTGATACACACACTATATTGTAAATTCTTATCTCTGTATACTGTACTTCTGCATACAGATGTTATGTTAAAGAATTACTTCATCCCCATGTGACCATCTCACCTCATAATCAAATGACCCTAAATCCCTTACCAACCTGCCCCCGCCCTCACTAAACTTAGTAATAAATGCTGGTATATCCAGTGCATTGGCGGCACCATGTGACCAGAAGGCGGTTACCCCCCTGGACCCAGCTTTCACTATCTTGTGTGTGTCTATTATTTCTCGACCTGCCGATCCACCTGGGAACAAAGAGAGAGCCCCAGTGCATTGCAGGCTGCTGGCCAGATCCCGCAATAGTTTCTTTTGCTGTGCAGAAGATCTTCAGTTTAATTAGAACCCATTTGTCAATTTTGGCTTTTGTTGCCATTGCTTTTGGTGTTTTAGTCATGAAGTCCTTGCCCATGCCTATGTCCTGAATGGTATTGCATAGGTTTTCTTCTATGGTTTTTATGGTTTTAGGTCTTAGCTTTAAGTCTTTATTCCATCTTGAGTTAATTTTTGTGTAAGGTGTAAAGAAGGGGTCCAGTTTCAGTTTTCTGCACATGGCTAGCCAGTTTTCCCAACAGCATTTATTAAATAGGAAGTCCTTTCCCCATTGCTTGTTTTTGTAAGGGTTGTCAAAGATCAGATGGTTGTAGATGTGTGATGTTATTTCTGAGGCCTTTGTTCTGTTCCATTGGTCTATGTATCTGGTTTGGTACCAGTACCATGCTGTTTTGATTACTGTAGCCTCGTAGTATAGTTGGAAATCAGGTAGCTTGATGCCTCCAGCTCTGTTCTTTTTGCTTAGGATTGTCTTGGCTATATGGGCTTTTTTTGGTTCCATATGAAATTTGAAGTAGTTTTTCCTAATTCTGTGAATAAAGTCAATGGTAGCTTGATGGGGATAGCATTGAATCTATAAATTACTTTGGTCACTATGGCCATTTTCACTATATTGATTCGTTCAATCCATGAGCATGGAATATTTTTTCCATTTGTTTATGTTCTCTCTTATTTCCTTGAGCAGTGGTTTGTAGTTCTCCTGGAAGAGGCCCTTCACATCCCTTGTAAGTTGGATTCCTAGGTATTTTATTCTTTTTGTAGCAATTGTGAATGGAAGTTCACTCATGATTTGGCTTTCTATTAATGGTGTATAGGAATGCTTGTGATTTTTGCCCATTGATTTTGTATCCTGAGACTTTGCTGAAGTTGTTTATCAGCTTAAAGAGATTTTGGGCTGAGACGATGGGGTTTTCTAAACATACAATCATGTCATCTGCAAACAGACACAATTTGACTTCCTCTCTTCCTATTTGAATACCCTTTATTTCTTCCTCTTTCCTGATATCCCTGGCCAGAACTTCCAATACTATGTTGAATAGAGTGGTGAGAGAGGGCATCCTTGTCTTGTGCTGGTTTTCAAAGGGAATGCTTCTAGTGTTTGCTCATTCAGTATGATATTGGCTGTGGATTTGTCATAAATACCTCTTATATTTTGCGATATGTTCCATCAATGCCTAGTGTATTGAAAATTTTTAGCATGAAGGAGTGTTGAATTTTATAGAAGGCCTTTTCTGCATCTATTGAGATAATCATTTTTTTTGTCATTGTTTCTATTTATGTGATAGATTATGTTGATTTATTTGCATATGTTGAACCCGCCTTGCATCCCAGAGATGAAGCCGACTTGATTGGATAAGCTTTTTGATGTGCTGCTGGATTCAGTTTGCCAGTATTTTCTTCAGGATTTTCACATTAAATTGCATCAGGGATATTGGCCTGAATTTTCTTTTTGTGTTGTGTCTCTGGCCAGGTTTTGGTATCAGAATGATGCTAGCCTCATAAAATGAGTTAGGGAGGAGTCCCTCTGTTTCTATTATTTGGAATGGTTTCAGAAGGAAAGGTACCAGTTTCTCTTTGTACAGAGGATTAGAATTCGTCTGTGAATCCATCTGGGCTTGGGCTTCTTTTGGATGGTAGGCTATTAATTACTACCTCAATTTCAGAACTTGTTATTGGTCTATTCAGGGATTCGACTTTAGTCTTAGGAGGGTGTATGTGTCCAGGAATTTATCCATTTCTTCTAGATTTTCTAGTTTATTTGCATAGAGGTGTTTATAGTATTCTGTGATGGTAGTTTGCACTTCTGTAGGATCACTGATGATATCCCCTTTTATATTTTTTATGCTGTCTATTTGATTCTTCTCTCTTTTCTTCTTTATTAGTCTGGCTAGCAGTCTATTTTTTTAATCTTCAAAAAGCAGCTCCTTGATTCATTGATTTTTTTGAAGGGTTTGTCGTGTCTCTATCTCCTTTAGTTCTGCTCTGATCTTAGTTATTTCTTGTCTTCTGCTAGCTTTTGAATTTGTTTGCTTTTGCTTCTCTAGTTCTTTTAATTGTGATGTTAGGGAGTCAATTTTAGATCTTGCCCACTTTCTCCTGTGGGCATTTAGTACTATACATTTCCCTCTAAATACTGTTTTAGCTGTGTCCCAGAGATTCTGGTACATTGTGTCTTTGTTCCCATTGGTTTCAAAGAACTTATTTATTTCTGCCTTAATTTCGTTATTTACCCAGTAGTCATTCAGGAGCAGGTTGTTCAGTTTCCATGTAGTTGTGCAGTTTTGAGTGATTTTCTTAATCCTGAGTTCTAATTTGATGGCTCTGTAGTCTGAGAGACTGTTATGATTTCTGTTCTTTTGCATTTGCTGAGAAATGTTTTACTTCCAAATATGTGGTCAATTTTAGAATAAGTGCTATGTGGTGCTGAGAAGAATGTATATTCTGTTGATTTGGGGTGGGGAGTTCTGTAGATGTCTATTAGGTCTGCTTGGACTAGAGCTGAGTTGAAGTCCTGAATGTCCTTGTTAATTTTCTGTCTTGTTGATCCCTCTATTATTGACAGTGGGGTGTTAAAGTCTCTGACTATTATTGTGTGGGAGTCTAAGTCTCTTTGTAGGTCTCTAAGAACTTTCTTTATGAATCTGGGTGCTCCTGTTTTGGGTGCATATATATTTAGGATAGTTAGCTCTTCTTGTTGCATTGATCCCTTTATCATTATGTAATGCCCTTCTTGGTCTTTCTCGATCTTTGCTGGTTTAAAGTCTGTTTTATCTGAGACTAAGATTGCAACCCCTGCTTTTTTTGCTTTCCATTTGCTTGGTAAATCTTCTTCCATCCCTTTGTTTTAAACCATGTGTGTCTTTGCATGTGAGATGAGTCTCCTGAATACAGCACACCAGTGAGTCTTGACTTTATCCAATTTGCCAATCTTTGTCTTTTAATTGTGGCATTTAGCCCATTTACACTTAAGGTTAATATTGTTATGTGTAAATTTGATCCTTTTATTATGATGCTAGCTGGTTATTTTGCCCTTTAGTTGATGCAGTTTCTTCATAATGTTGATGGTCTTTACAATTTGGTATGTTTTTGCAGTGGCTGGTACTGGTTTTTCCTTTCCATATTTAGTGCTTCCTTCAGGAGCTCTTGAAAGGCAGGCCTAGTGGTAACAAAATCTCTTAGCATTTGCTTGTCTGTAAAGGATTTTATTTCTCCTTCGCTTATGAGCTTAGTTTGGCTGGATATGAAATTCTGGGTTGAAAATTATTTCTTTACGAATGTTGAATATTGGTCCCCACTGTCTTCTGGCTTGTAGGATTTCTGCAGAGAGATCCGCTGTTACACTGATGGGCTCCCCTTTGTGGGTAACCCAACCTTTCTCTTTGGCTGCCCTTAACATTTTTTCCTCCATTTCAATCTTGGTGAATCTGATGATTATATATGTGTCTTGGGGTTGCTCTACTTGAGGAATATCTTTGTGGTATTCTCTGTATTTCTTGAATTTGAATGTTGGCCTGTCTTGCTAGGTTGGGGAAATTCTCCTGGATAATATTCTGAAGAATGTTTTCCAACTTGGTTCCATTCTCCCTGTCACTTTCAGGTACACCAATCAAATGTAGGTTTGGCCTTTTCACATAGTCCCATATTTCTTGGAGGCTTTGTTCATTCCTTTTCATTCTTTTTTCTCTAATCTTGTCTTCATGCTTTATTTCATTAAGTTGATCTTCAATCTCTGGTATCCTTTCTTTCGCTTGATTGATTTGGCTATTGATACTTGTATATGCTTCACAAAGTTCTCATGCTGTGTTTTTCAGCTCCATGAGGTCATTTATGTTCTTCTATAAACTGGTTATTCTAGTTAGCAATTCCTCTAACGTTTTTTCAAGGTTCTTAGCTTCATTGCATTGGGTTAGAACATGCTCCTTTAGCTTAGAGGAGTTTGTTATTACCCACCTTTTGAAGCATACTTCTGTCAATTCGTCAAACTCATTCTGCATTTAGTTTTGTTCCCTTGCTGGCAGGGAGTTGTGATCCTTTGGAAGAGAAGAGGCATTCTGGTTTTTGGAATTTTCCAGCATTTGCACTGTTTTTTCCTCATCTTTGTGGATTTATCTACCTTTGGTCTTTGATGTTAGGGACGTTTGGATGGGGTTTTTGCATGGACATCCTTTTTGTTGATGTTGATGCTATTCCTTTCTGTTTGTTAGTTTTTCTTCTAACAGTTAAGCCCCTCTGCTGCAGGTCTGCTGGAGTTTGCTTGGAGGTCCACTCCAGACCGTCTTTTCCTGGGTATCACCAGCAGAAGCTGCAGAACAGCAAAAATTACTGCCTGTTCCTTCCTCTGAAAGCTTCATCCCAGAGGGGCATCCACCTGATGCCAGCCAGAGCTCTCCTATATGAGGTGCCTGTTGACCCCTATTAGGACGTATCGTCCAGTCAGGAGGCATAGGGGTCAGAAACCCATTTGAGGAGGCAGTCTGTCCCTTAGCAGAGCTCCAGTGCTGTGCTGGGAGATCCGCTGCTCTCTTCAGAGCCAGCAGGCAAGAATATTTAAGTCTGCTGAAGCTGTGCCCACAGCTGCCCCTTCCTCTAAGTGCTCTGTCCCAAGGAGATGGGAGTTTTATCTATAAGCCCCTTACTGGGTCTGCTGCCTTTTTTTCAGAGATTCCCTGCCCAGAGAGGAGGAATCCAGAGAAGCAGTCTGGCTACAGTGGCTTGGCAAAGCTGCGGTGGTCTCCACCCAGTTCAAACTTCCAGGTGGCTTTGTTTACACTGTGATGGGAAACCACCTACCCAAGCCTCAGTAATGGTGGACGCCCCTCCCCTGACCAAGCTCGAGCATCCCAGGTCCACTTCAGACTGTTGTGCTGGCAGCAAGAATTTCAAGCCAGTGGATCTTAGCTTGCTGGGCTCTGTGGGCATGGGATCAGCTGAGCTAGACCACTTGGCTCCCTGGCTTCAGCCCCCTTTCCAGGAGAGTGAATGGTTCTGTCTTGCTGGCATTCCAGGTGCCACTAGGGTATGAAAACAAACTCCTGCAGCTAGCCTGGTGTCTGCCAAATGGCTGCCCAGTTTTGTGCTTGAAACCTAGGGCTCTGATGGCGTAGGCACCCGAGGAAATCTCCTAGTCTGCAAGTTGCGAAGATAGTGGGAAAGGCGTAAAATCTGGGCCAGAGTGTACCCTTCTTCAGGGCACAGTCCCTCATGCCTTCCCTTGGCTAGGGGAGGGAGTTCCTCAACCCCTTGTGCTTCCTGGGTGAGGTGACAACCCACTCTGCTTTGGCTTATCCTCTGTGGGCTGCACCCATTCTGGCTGGCAGGATGGCAGAATAGGAACAGCTCCGGTCTGCAGTTCCCAGTGAGATCAATGCAGAAGGTGGGTGATTTCTGCATTTCCAACTGAGGTACCCAGCTCATCTCATTGGGACTGGTCTGATCTCATCTTTCTGGTCCTTTCCACCTGTGCTGGCTTTCCTTGTTCTCCTGAATGCTGAGCACATCAGCTGCTGTCCATCTCCTGGCATTTAGAGGGCAACTTGGGATCTCAGGTTGTCAGTCAGACATCCTGGTGCTGTTGGGATTGCTTCAAAGGTAATTCTGAATGGAGCTACCATATAGAGAAAAGCACTTTGGGTCCTCGGAAAAAAATGGATAACCAGCAGAGTTGTGGAATTTTTGAACTAAGCATGATGGTCTAATCAGCTCTCCTCTATAATCATAGATGAAAAGACATGTTCATGATATAGTTTTATTAAGAAAAATTACAATAATAATTTTTACTAAAACAAGACAAAAAAGCAATGTGGAATACTGATTGTAAAATTCCCCAACTATATGTATATTATACATATAGAAAAGTAAAATTGCACAACTATATTTATATTTTGATCTCATTTTTAGTGGAAAACTAGACACACCTGTCTATAAGAGCATGATTATTATGGGCAAACATAATTCTAGGACCTCTATATGTATTATACCATTTAATCTTTATAACTACCTTATTCATTAGATGTGATTACCAACCCAGTTGCCAAAATGAAGGCATTGCTGTGAGGAGAAGTTAAGTAACTTTCTCAGATTTGCAGAACTGCTAAGACTAGATCTGAACTCAGAGGGATTTGAACTCAGGCAGACTAGCTGCCTAGTAGTATAGTATTAACCCTTCGTTACATTGCTATTCTCATACATATAAATTCACAGGAAAAGGCCAATACTAGTGTTTACACTTGGAAAGTGGATTGAGAAGTAGGAAAGGTGTGAATGGGATTTTACGTTTCACTAAATATAATTCTATTTTCATTGATTTTTTCTTTAATTAAATGAAATTAAGAAATACTATTAAAATAATCAAGGTTTTTTTCCTGTGGATCAATGCCTATGCACTGTAATAATTTGTTTCTGATACTTATGAATATATTACAATCTCAAATCTACAGAAAAGTTGCAAGTGCATTGTCAAACCTTATTTTCCATGATGGTATTTGAGGATATGTTGCTTGCTCACTTGATGTTCTATAACCCTTGAATATTTTAGTGTGTATTTTCTACAAACAATATATTCTTCTACATAATTACAATAACCATCAATACCAAGAAATAAACATTGGGACATTACTGCCATCTAAACCTCAGACATCATTCAGGTTTCATCAATCACACCAATAGTGACCTTTAGAGCAGAATGATGGAGTTCAGAATCATGCATTGCATTTAAATATTCCTCTTTAGTTTCTTTCAATCTGAAGCAGTTCCTCAGTTTTTCCTTAGCTTTCATGAGCTTGAAGTTTTTAAAGATTCCTGTACATTTATCTTGTGGTACGGCCTTCTACTTGGAGTTGGCTCATGTTCCTCATTAAGTGCATGGGATGCTATGTTTTTCTCATTGCATTCTGTCAAGTGGCAAAGTATTTTAGTTTATTTAATTATTTATACTGTTGACTTTGATCACTTCATTAAGGTGGTGTCTGCCAGGCTTCTTCACTGCAAAGTTGCTCATTTTCTCCTTGTAATTAATCAGTATTTTATGAGGATGTACTTTGAAACTATATACATATCCCATTTCTCATTAAGCTTTCAAATTTTCCATTTATTTATGTATAACAGCATAGACTCATGATTCTTATTTTAGTTGATGGGTTATCCCCTATTAATATTATTATTTATTTTGAAGTTTAAATTGTCCATTTGGTTGGCTCCTATATCCTTTTAACATGCTCCCTCTTTCTTTGACAATTTTCTAACTTTATAGTCCAAAATATTCTGGGTTTACCCTTTTTTTTCCCCCACCTTATCCCTGTTTCTGTCTCAGAGAAGTAGCACTAGATGTGTTCATTCCTTAGAGTTGAGAAACATGAGATTTTTTCCTGTAAAAATTCAGGCATCAACTTCTGGATGGAAGTCAAAATTAAAATGATGATCTAAGTAAGGTATAGTCTGTCAAAGACAAGTCTAAACAAGACTGTTTGCAATGCAGTTTAGATATATTCCAAAGTGCTTCTTAAATACTTTTTTTGGAAAAGTACTTTTCTTCTCTTTTGCCATCACCAAGAAATTTTGCTTTCTGAGGACTTTTGATCTGTAGTTGCAGCTGTTCCAGATCTCAAGACCTTGGGTGACATTGTTGAGCTAACAACTGTAGACAAATACACAACAAAAGTAAAGATTCTCAAGAGTGAGAGGATGAAGGATATGCAGATTTTGTCACTGTCTTAGTCTTTGATCCAAACAAAATAACTTTTCTTTCTACTGATAATTTTAAATATGACCTCAAGGCAGAATTGCCCAGGTTGAAAAGTAGTGTTTATTGTTCTTTATTGTGACTTGCTACAAAATCACTAAATGTTATTGGGTAAAAATTATCAGATCAAGAAAGTATATTTCAACTGGAAATATGAATACAGAAAATAGTCATCGATTGGCTTTCTAAAAATAGAAGAGTTATGAAATACCAAAAAAAAAGTCTTGGGTGTTATCTCAGTTGATGTTAATGCATAATAAATCGTTAAGATATTATTATTATTTTATAAACTATCCTCCAACTAGATATACTCTACCTTAAAATTCTGCAGTTTTACTGAGAAATGGTAGATAACATGTTAAGTGTTTTGTAGCTAAAGAAGGTATTCATATATATCATTTCATATTCTCCTTGAACAACCTGGTGATACAAGTATTATTAGTCTCATATCAGTGTAAATGGAATCTCAGAGAGTTAAAGAGATTAGTCTAAGGTACTAATTGGCAGAGCAGCAACTTCTAATTCCAAGTTACCTCTTCTCTTTTTCTTACCTCTTCACACCCTTTCTTCTACTTTTTCCTTTGACGGTTCACAACTACTTTTTAAAAAATCCCTGGGTTTAGTTTACCAGATGTGACACGTGAATCATCTGAAACTGAACAAAGTAACCTTATGATATTAAGAAGATTGCATTAATGGCTTTTTTTTGGTAATTAAAGTTTTTTTCTTTTTTTCTCAAAACAGGTAGAATCAATAGGCACAGAATTGTCTCATACACAATAAATTATGTTGTATTTCATGGGGCTTGCTAATCGTAAAAAGTGAAAAATTGTGCTTTGTGGAACTTTTTGCTAGCAAAAGAGGTGAAGTCTACAAATCAGAGAGAGAAAACTAAAAACTAAAAGTAAGATGATTTCTAACAGGAGTCATCATGGCAGACAAGATTCTACAGGCAGAGAGGGCAGGCTGAGATTTGACTAATGGTGAAATTCAGATGTTGATAATTAATCATTTTTTCTAGTGTTGCTGAGGCTTCTCTTGTGTCAAACACTGGTTACAGCTTTTACAAGGCACTCAGTTTAATGAAGAACCAAAGGGCAACTGTAGCGCCATGTTTTGTTTTGGAAATTTTGATTATTTGGGTACGTTATACAAAACGTTTCCGTCAACTGATGAGTTAAAATATCACATCTAACCTCTTTGGTCACATTAGGCTCAAGACAAGAGGGGAACAAGACTTCATAGCCTCTCTTTCAATTAAGTGATATCTTCATAGCACTCCCAAATGCTTGGGCAGCTAAACGAAAACATCTTCAGCATTCACTCTTTCTCCAAATTGCGTTTTCTGTGAAAGCAAGACAAATGAAAGACATATTTTCTTAACTACCATATGCTGCTCAGAGCACCACAGTTTGTGAATTTTTAAGTGAAAATGGAAATTGTTTTTATTTCCCTGATTTTTATTTGCATGTTTCATGCCCCAAACCGGTGTGTCTTATGATCAAATGTGACAGATAGAAGTAGTAACCCATTTAAGAGTGACATATTGTGTTACACTCAGCACATCTCTAGTTTAGAGAAATAAAGAACAAAATATGCAAACAGAGGAGGGAAGACTATCATTTATCTTCATTTTCCCCCATAACCAAGTTAAAATAAAGGTAAAGCTACATGCTATGACTCCAAATATGATTCAAAATAAATAAATTAACAGGGTTAGTTTTCTTTTCCTGAATACTCTACCTCAACTTACTAAACTTCTCTTCTGAACACCCTCTATGAAAAACAAAGAGAAATGAAGAAGCCACACAAAATAGTAGAGAAAATAGAAATAGTCTCATTTAAAAATCTGATTTGTGTTTTCATCTGTGAAAAACAAATTGCCTTTTAGTTTAATTTCTTTATACAGAGGTTCAGAGGCATCATTTAAGTTACTTGGAATTATATCAAATACTGCTGACCAGTTCAGCTTACAGACTCATTTGATTATATTTGACTCCTAAATCTGTATTCAAATACATCGTTTTCATTTCTATGAGAAAGAAAAGGAGATTCATTGTTCCACATTCTTTGTTGTATCTAAAATTAGGTTTTGGGGGGGATATTATGTTTCTTCATAAATAAATGCATGCAGAAATAAAAACTTCTTTGTTCTTATCTTGGAAGATTGGAATATAATGCAATTTTGCCTTTTGCATTTTAAAACAGTTTTAATAGGACATCTTGCACTGAGTTCCCTTGAAATAAGTTTCTGAGATGAGCATTTGATACAGGTGGTGTTTTGGGGAAGGTAATCTCAGAATGATCAGTAGAGAGATGAAGAAAGCAAAATGCAGAAGGGGAAACAAATACAAGCCTATGTAACTGAGTTGGCCGTGACTATGAGCAACTAGTACTGTCAAGCAGAAAATTCTGAGAAGTCTTATAAAATATCTATTAAAACTATGTACTCAGGTGATAAAAGACAAAAACATCTGACCATTATTTCCTGTACTCTGTGGATCAAAGCTGGCACTGAAAGTGTTAATTACTCTGGACTTTCTGCATGTTTTTATATGAGTGCTGATCAGGATGCTACAGGGTTTCATTTACAACAGTGTCAGAGAAGTTTCATAGCAGAAATCAAGAGGTCCCCATTGTGTTCTGCGGCAAGGATCTGCTTATCACTTTGTAAAATACATCTTTTTGAGGGGTTCTCCAGAAGCTCCCTCCAGCATCTTATGCATGACGGCTAAGGCTAGTATCATGACATCCACTTGGTCATATTGTCTTAGTGATAGAGAAACTGTTACCCCAGTCTAGACCTGTGGCCTGAACTTGGAACTATAAAGCAGTATCTTCTGAACACTACTTTAGACTAGTAGAGTTCCATGTCACCCATTAATATAGGAGTCTGCAAGCTATGGCCCATGTTCTAAATCTGGTCTGCCACCTGTTTTATTTTTAAGTAAAACGTTATTGGAACACAACCACGCTAATTTGTAACGGAATACTTCCAAAATTCCACTTTTAAGCATTTCCCTGTACTCCTGCCTCCTCCTCATTTTTCTATTAATTCAGCTGGACAAATTTACTATTTTCTTTTCTGTTATCAATCATTAGTTTCATCTTCCAATTAAAATTCCAGTTCAAGATCTGGTGTTTCATCAAAATTATTAGGAAAATCCTTATTTCTTGACATTTCCCCTTCTTATTCACCTAGCTGAACTGCAAATCTATTTAATCCAACACTTCTTCTATACTACACTTATATGTGAAAAGTTGAATTTTGCTGTAGAAAATTATTCAATCAGGTTACACGAATTATCTTTCCATTTATACCCACACAGCTGAAATGGGTAATCAACATATTCAGACAATTTTTTACATTTCCCCAATAAGTGAGAATTCCCATTCCCAGGGACAACAATTGTATTTTTCTTCTCTCTTCCAACCTCTCCAATCCCCTAGCTACTCTCAGATGAGATCTTCACCTCATATTTGCTTATCAAGATATAGACAGGAATGATTTAATCTTCCTGTAAACAAACCTATAACCTACCGAATTTGTAACGCACATGCTCTGTTTCTCTTCCTGACACTACAAAGAAGTGTCTGTGGTCCTACTAAAGGCCAATCCTGTACTTGTGACCCAGATTTTCACCCTCCTTCCTTCCTAAATATTTCAGTCTTTCTTGACCCGTCCTTTCTCTCTCACACCAACAATTTTTCTGCTATACTGAATAATTAAACCAATGTGCTTTGGTATCTCAAATCTTGCAAGAAAAAAACAATGCATTTTAATCTAAAAATCTCCACTGTTTATGCTACATTTTATTCCAGCATTTGCCTTTTTTTCTCACCTTTTCACAGAATAATTTAAAAGTAATCTATCTTGCCATCTCTTTGTCCTCATCTCCCATTTTCTTTCAAATTCTCTTTGATCAGGCTTTTGTCCTCTATGCTTTGCTGAAGTTGCATTAAATTCCCTAGTGTTCTGCCTGCTTCTTTGTTGAATTTCACACAGTTGACAACTACCTGATTCCTGACTTTTTCTTGCTTTTTCTGTGATAGTACATTTCTTGTTTTTTTTTCTTAACTTTTTGAACCTTTTATTTCTTGGTTGTAAGCTCTATTTTATTACTTCTCTAAAACGTTTTTCTATTTAATCTTAGTTGTATTGCTTAAAATACTATAAATTGGGTGAAGAGTTCCAAACATATGTCCTCTTGTCTAACTTTTCTGCTGAGCTCCAAATTCATAAACCCAGCTGTCACTTGAATGATTAATAGGCATCTCAAGTTAAACATGTCTAAAATAGAACTTTTTGATTTGTGCCTCTCACCTCATAATGTGATTTTCCATCAATCTTTCCTATTTCAGCAAAAAGTACTATTATTCACTCAGTTTCTCAAGACAAAAGAACAAGGACCCTGTCATCATTCTTAATACCTTTCTTTCCCTTACTACCACTACACACACACACACACACACACACACACACACACACACACTTAATCCAGTGCTACATCATGCCAGGTCTACGTCTAATATACATGCCAAATTTTATCACATTTTAACTTCTTGTTTGTAAGTGCCTAATTATCATGTTGAAGCTTATGAGCCCTTGGATGGGTATAATTTTATTGGACATTTTTCAATTGTCTTAGGACATTTTATGCTTGTATAGAGAATCTCGAGGCCAATTTGATTTCTCTTCCTTGTAAGTGATTTGC
Organism: Homo sapiens; assembly: GCF_000001405.40. Taxonomy (NCBI): domain Eukaryota; kingdom Metazoa; phylum Chordata; class Mammalia; order Primates; family Hominidae; genus Homo; species Homo sapiens. The sequence goes on along the minus strand of NC_000007.14, from coordinate 89,532,642 downwards.
TTGTCATACCTGGATGCCTTTAAAATGTTTTTATTTTTTATTTATTTTTATTTTATTGTTTTGAGACAGAGTCTCACTCTGTCACCCAGGCTGGAGTGCAGTGGCCTGATCTCGGCTCACTGCAAACTTTGCCTCCTGAGTTCAAGCGATTCTCCTGCCTCAGCCTCCTGAGTAGCTGGGATTACAGGTACCACCATCACGCCTGGCTAATTTTTGTATTTTTAGTAGAGATGGGGTTTTACTATGTTGGCCAGGTTGGTCTCGAACTCCTGACCTCAGGTGATCCACCCACCTTGGCCTCCCAAAGTGCTGGAATTACAGGTGTGAGCCACCACGCCCGGCTGAAAATGTTTATCTTAAAATTTAAATACTTAATGAAACTACGTCACTGTGCTGATTTTTGTAATCAGAAATGAAGTCTGGTCATGTCAGTCTACATAATAAAAAATATAAATATCAACAGAGCACATATCAACTATATTGTTGGAGGCTAAGTTATTTGTCATATTTTTAGCCAGTCATGGACTCACTTTGAGTTTATTCAAGCCAACTAAATATTAAATAAGGTCAATGTCCTCCAAGGAGATACAAGGGAAACCCACTCTTCTAACTATGACAGGAAATTGGAGAAAGATTTAGCTGCCATTCACCAGTTAAGAAGAAATCAGCTAAAATTTTAACACGTTCTTAAAGGCCATGTTTAGAACAGCTGGGGAACCTAGGGGAAAAAAAAGAGTTTTCACTCACTTGCAAGCTCTTCCTCAGCGTCCTCAGATTGGGACAAGGCAGAAGATCTAAAAAGCTCATAGAAATGCTGAGGTGCTTGGCAGTTTTGAAAGTGACAGATCAAAAACTTGTACTCTTTCCTGGATTTACCATTTATACAAAGAAAATTCTTACCCAGCTGGAAGAGGAGGAACAAAACTTTTTACTATCAGGGCACAGGCAAAAAATCCATTTGTGCAAGAGAGACATATAAGCAAAATGCATCTACAGGAGAGGTGTGGGACCAGTTTTTTTCCCTGGAAGCTACATTTATAATCCACTGAAATTGAGATATAAAGCTCCTGTTCAAGATCAACCACAGATACAAACTCAGTTTGGATGCCAGTAGAAGAAAGGCCAGAAATGCTAAACATGCCTAACTTTAGAGGTATAGGTTCTTAGGACCTGCCTAAGACAGAAGCTGGACAAAGACAACAGAGAAAATCTATCTTGCCTAAAACAAAAGCCTAGCATTGAGAAAGAAACAGCATCAGTCTAACACTGAGGGAGGATGTGGAGACTCTTAGCTGTAGCACAGGACTGAAGGAACTGTTGAAAGCTCAGAGTAAGCATAAATGTTGAGAGGATTCTCTAGCTTGCCAAACACGCACTAAGAACAAAGTAACAGGCAGACCACCACTGAAGCAATTTGAATCATGATAAAAAATAAAACTCAAACCAAACTCAACTGGCTACGTTAATCCAAAGCTTATACTAGATGCCTGATGATACAAGAGTTGTGCCTATCAATGAGCAGAAACTCTATCTTTACCAGCTTCTACTCTTCACTACATAATATCCAGCATTCCATAAAAAATTATGAAACATGTAAAGCAAGCAAATAAAATGTGATTTATTTTCAACAAATAAGTAATCACCAAGACCAAAAAAGGGTGAGCAGTCAAAGACTTTAGAATAACTATGATTAACATGTTAAAGAATTTATTGGAAAAAGAGGACAGCATTTGTTAACAGATAAACAAGGAGTTTTGGCAGAGAGACTAAAACTGTAGAATAAAGTCAAATGAAAATGCTAGAAATAAAAGCTAGAAACGCTTTTAGAAAATGCGAGAAATAAAATATCAATATCATTGATAGAGAATTCATGCAGTGGGATTATTAGAAGAATGAACAAAGCTAAAGAATCAGGAAACTTTAATTTTGATCAATAAAAATCCCCAAAATGAAACAAAAGAGAAAAAATAATGAAAAGACCAGAGCATCCAAGAGTCATGACATCAGACTTTTTATCAGAAATTATGCAAACCAGGCCTAAACTGCTGAAAGAAGAAACAACCAGTCAACTTCAAATTCTATTTTTCCATCAAAAAATCATGAAAAATAAAATGAAGGCAAAATAAAATGAAGGCAAAATAAAGGCTGTTAGAAAAAAGTTAAAAAAAAATACCAGCAAAATTGAGCTACAAGAAACATTATTCTTCAGGCAAAAGATAAAAATTTGGATCTGCACAAATAGAAGAAGTGTGCCTAGTAATGGTAAAATGAGAGTAATTATAAAATACTTTTTTTCTTTCATTACTTATTTTAAAAGACAATCATCAAGCAAAAAGTACTATCTTGTGATGCTTATAACATATAAAATTCAAATGTATTACAAACAGTATAAAGGATAACTTGGAGGAGTTAGAGTATATTGTTGCAAGGTTTTAATAATATGTGTGAAATTATATCATATTGTTTGAAAGTAGACTGTTATATTAAAGTTGTATACTTTAAGTGTTAATGAAACTAAAACATTCTAAACAAGTAAACCTAATAAGCTAGTAGGGAAAAATGTGTAATCATAAAAATAATCATTTTTGTGTGTTTCAAAACAAGGAGTAAAATAAAACAAAAATGATGGGAAAAGCAAGAACATCTAGAAAGATGACAGATTTAAATTCAATCATATTAATAACTATTAAAAAACTATATAGGTTTATGTTATGTGAAACTATGTGAAATATTCTAAATTGCCAATAGAAAAAAGTTTGGAAGATTAGATTCAAAAGCCAGAAATTCGATACTTTTAAAAGAAATCTGCTTTTAATATATAAACATATATATGTTAAAATTATAATGATTAAAAATGCCATATAATACAAACAGTTATCAGAAGAAAGATAGGCTATATTACTATCAAAACAAACTCTGAACAAACAATATTAGCAGAGGTAAATGAAAACTTACAATGATAATGAAAGCAATTCCTTAAAAAGATTTAATAATTTTATGCCTACATGTACATTTCCTTCAAAACTATATGAAGAAACTGACAGAACAGAGAGAAAAATCAGACAAGTTTGCAATTACATGTAGAGACTTCATGACCTCTCTCCTAAAGACACAAAGACATTAAGAATATATGAGACTTGAACAACATAATCAATCAACTTGACATACTTGAACAGTCCACCAAACAGCAGAAGACACATTCTCTTCAACCACACATGAAACATTCACCAGGAGACTATATTTTCTACCTTAACATAAACTAACAGATATAAAGAATTGAAAACCAAATGAGTAAACTAGAGTACATAATGAAAAGATGTTGGAAATATTTCCCAAACACTTAGAAAATAAAAATACACTTCTCAATAACTTTGGGTCAAAGAGAAAGTCACAAGGGAAATTGGTAAATACATTGGATTGAATAAAATTTTAAAAATATATAAAAATATGTAAAGTGGAGGTATAGGATTCGAAAGAAAATTTATACATTACATCCTTATATTAGGATAATAGGGAAAATGTCAAAGTGAATCTAACCCTGCATCTCAAGGAATTAGTAATTGAACAGAAAAGTAAGCTCAATGGAAGCAGGAGGAAGAAAATAAAAATTAGAGCAAACATGAATATAAATATTAAAATAAAAAAATTTGTAAAGAAATATTAATAAAAGATGTGTACAGAAAATATAAAGAACTATTACAATTTACCAAGGAGAACATAAACACACAATAAGAAAAAATGGAAAAAGATTTGAACAGACACACTAGCGAAGACATAGACAGCTAATAAACATGTAAAATTACTCAATATCATTACTTATTATGGAAATTAAAATTGAAACTATACTGAGATATCACTTCATATCTAATAGAATGGCTATAAAATGAAAATAAATTCAACAATTCCAACTTCTGGGAATGATGAGGTGCAGTGAGCATCCTCTTATGGATTGGGAGAAATGCAAAACAACATAACCACTTTGGAAAACAGTTTTTGTAATATTATAAGAAGTTAAACACACTCCTATCATATGATTTAGCAATCTTACATCTAGGAATATAATGTTCCTCCAAGAGAAAATTTCTCTAAGAGAAATGAAATCGATTTCCATTCAAAAACTGTTTGTAAACATTTATAGCAGCTTCATTCATAATTGCCAGAATCTGGAGAGAAACCAAAGGTCCATCAACTGTTGAATGGATAATCAAATTGGGGTACAGTTGAATAATGGAGTAATATTCAGCAAATAAGAAATAACTACAAATACATGTATGACATGTTAGTTAAATAGTTGACATGTATGACATGACATTGATGAATTTGAATGGCATTAAATTAAAAAAAAAGTCAAATCCAGAAAGCTATATACTGTAAGATTCTGATATGGTTTGGCTCTGTGTCCCCACTCAAATCTCATCTTGTAGATCCCATAATTCCTACCTGTTATGGGAGGGACCCTGTGGGAGATAATTGAATCATGAGGTCGGGTCTTTCCCATACTGTTCTCCTGATAGTGAGTAAGTCTCAGGAGATCTAATGATTTTAAAAATGAGAGTCTCCATGAAAAAGCTCTCCTTCTGCCTGCTGCCATCCATGTAAGACGTGACTTGCTCCTCCTTGCCTTCTGTCATGATTGTGAGGCCTCCCCAGCATGTAAAACTGTAAGTCCAATAAACCACTTTCTTTTGTAAATTCCTCAGTCTTGGGTATGTCTTTATTAGCAGCATGAAAATGGACTAATACAGATTCCATTTATATAACATTCTGGAAAACATAAAACTATAGCATCTCACCACAAAAACATAACAAACAAACCAAAAAACCACGTGGGGTACTGGATATGTTAATTTCCTTGATTTAGCCATTCCACAATGTGTGTGTTTGTGTGTGTGTGTATATATATATATATATATATATATATATATATATATATATATATACACACACACACACACAAACATACAATATCACATCACCATAAATATATGCTATTTTCGTTTGTCAATTTAGGAAAACTAATACTTTCAAAGAAACAAAAACTTTCAAGGGAAAAGAAATCATATCTGAGGTTGCTAGGAGCTGGAAGTAGGGGAAGGAAATGATTACCAACTGGCATTTGATAACCGTTTGGGAAAATGAAAATGAAAATACATATCTTCATTTTGGTGGTAGTTATGCAAATGTATTTGTGTGTCAAAACTCTTAAGGCTGTACACTTACATAGGTGAATTGTACTCCATGTAAAGAAATTACCTATATGAAAAAAGCAATAGAAAATGGGAGAATGTAGGTGGTAGATACAGAGGATTACTGCAAATTTTTTTCCACTTTGTTCTATATTTGAAAGTTTTTATCTAAAACATTGAAAATTTGGAAAAAACAATTTATTTTTCAAAAACAAAAATCTCTATGTTAAGACCAGGTGTAAAAACTTATTAACAAAGGCAAAAATAAATAAATTTAGCATAAACAAATTGCACAGTGTATTAATCATTTTCCACTCAGGGTCATGTGAGCAATTAAGGAACTCTAAATAAAATATTATATTATAAATACAAACATGTCAACACATTATAACAATAACAATAATGTTATAAATATTAATATATTCATAAAACTCACATTTGTTTAACTTAGAGTTTTATGTAGTATACTTTCCATATATGATCCCTTTTGATTTATGTTAACTAGTAGTTTAGGTAAATGACATTACATTATAGATGCAGGAACTAAGACACAGAGCAATTAAGCAATTTGCCTTAGGCGTCTAATGCAGAAACTGTAATTTCAAATCTCATATCACTGGTTGTATATCTTCTTTTACCAAAGGATAATAGATATATAGAAAAATGATTATCTTGAAATATATATGAGAAAAGTGATATATAAAGGTGCATCTCAGTGAATTACTAAACACCTGTGTAACTAGAACTGCGATCAAGGAAGAGATTATCCCCAAAACACCAAAAATAACTTACTTTTAAAAGGGGAACCAGATTAGGAAATAAATTTTTATAAAACATTTAATTTTGTGGTATTATACAAAATATGTACAGTCTTCTCTTTAAGGGTTCTTTAAATACTCAACTATTTCACAACATTTAAAATATGGTTTTGTTAATACAATTTTTTTATGCACACAGCTTTGTAGGAACATAGATTTAGGTAGACTACTATAAAAATATTCCCAAGATAACAACAATCGGTAGTCACCATTTATATGCTTAGTATGTCTATATAGAAAGGTCAAAGTATTAATTGCTTTTAGCCATAAATGATTTTAGAATGCATATAACTAATGGGATTCACATCACTGGTGACAAACACAAACAATTCTTAAGACATTTGTCAAACATGACCAAGATGGCCTTAAAGTTCCCCTTAGTTTAACTGTAAACTGGTTTCTTTTTTTTTTTTTTTAATACTTTAAGTTTTAGGGTACATGTGCACAATGTGCAGGTTTGTTACATATGTATACATGTGCCATGTTGGTGTGCTGTACCCATTAGCTTGTCATTTACATTAGATATATCTCCTAATGCTATCCCTCCCCCCTCCCCCCACCCGGCAACAGGCCCCAGGGTATGGTGTTCCCCTTCCTGTGTCCATGTGTTCTCATTGTTCAATTCCCACCTACAAGTAACAACATGCGGTGTTTGGTTTTTTTGTTCTTGCGATAGTTTGCTGAGAATAATGGTTTCCAGCTTCATCCATGTCCCTACAAAGGACATGAACTCATCATTTTTTATGGCTGCATAGTATTCCATGGTGTATATGTGCCACATTTTCTTAATACAGTCTATCATTGTTGGACATTTGGGTTGGTTCCAACTCTTGGCTATTGTGAATAGTGCCGCAGTAAACATACATGTGCATGTGTCTCTATAGCAGCATGATTTATAATCCTTTGGGTATATACCCAGTAATGGGATGGCTGGGTCAAATGGTATTTCTAGTTCTAGATCCCTGAGGAATCGCCACACTGACTTCCACAATGGTTGAACTAGTTTACAGTCCCACCAACAGTGTAAAAATGTTCCTATTTCTCCACTCCTCTCCAGCACCTGTTGTTTCCTGACTTTTTAATGATCGCCATTCTGACTGGTGTGAGATGGTATCTCATTGTGGTTTTGATTTGCATTTCTCTGATGGCCAGTGATGATGAGCATTTTTTCATGTGTCTTTTGGCTGCATAAATGTCTTCTTTTGAGAAATGTCTGTTCATATCCTTTGCCCAGTTGTTGATGGGGTTGTTTGTTGATTTCTTGTAAATTTGTTTGAGTTCTTTGTAGACTCTGAATATTAGCTCTTTCTCAGATGAGTAGATTGCAAAAATGTTCTCCCATTCTGTAGGTTGCCTGTTCACTCTGATGGTAGTTTATTTTGCTGTGCAGAAGCTCTTTAATTTAATTAGATCCCATTTGTCAATTTTGGCTTTTGTTGCCATTGCTTTTGGTGTTTTAGACATGAAGTCCATGCCCATGCCTATGTCCTGAATGGTATTGCCTAGGTTTTCTTCTAGGGTTTTTATGGTTTTAGGTCTAATGTTTAAGTCTTTAATCCATCTTGAATTAATTTTTATATAAGGTGTAAGGAAGGGATCCAGTTCCAGCTTTCTACATATGGCTAGCTAGTTTTCCCAGCACCATTTGTTAGGTAGGGAATCCTTTCCCCATTTCTTGTTTTTGTCAGGTTTGTCAAAGATCAGATGGTTGTAGATGTGTGACATTATTTCTTAGTCCTCTGTTCTGTTCCATTGGTCTATATCTGTGTCTTGGTACCAGTACCATGCTGTTTTGGTTACTGTACCCTTGTAGCATAGTTTGAAGTCAGGTAGCATGATGTCTCCAGCTTTGTTCTTTTGGCTTAGGATTGTCTTGGCAATGCAGGCTGTTTTTTGGTTCCATGTGAACTTTAAAGTAGTTTTTTCCAATTCTGTGAAGAAAGTCATTGGTAGCTTGATGGGGATGGCATTGAATCTATAAATTACCTTGGGCAGTATGGCCATTTTCACAATATTGATTCTTCCTATCCATGAGCATGGAATGTTCTTCCATTTGTTTGTATCCTCTTTTATTTCATTGAGCAGTGGTTTGTAATTCTCCTTGAAGAGGTCCTTCACATCCCTTGTAAGTTCGATTCCTAGGTATTTTATTCTCTTTGAAGCAATTGTGAATGGGAGTTCACTCATGACTTGGCTCTCTGTTTGTCTGTTATTGGCGTATAAGAATGCTTGTGATTTTTGCACATTGATTTTGTATCCTGAGACTTTGCTGAAGTTGCTTATCAGCTTAAGGAGACTTTGGGCTGAGACGATGGGGTTTGCTAGATATACAATCATGCCATCTGCAAACAAGGACAATTTGACTTCCTCTTTTCCTAACTGAATACCCTTTATTTCCTTCTCCTGCCTGATTGCCCTGGCCAGAAGTTCCAACACTATGTTGAATAGGAGTGATGAGAGAGGGCATCCCTGTCTTGTGCCAGTTTTCAAAGGGAATGCTTCCAGTTTTTGCCCATTCAGTATGATATTGGCTGTGGGTTTGCCATAGATAGCTCTTATTATTTTGAGATACGTCCCATCAATCCCTAATTTATTGAGAGTTTTTAGCATGAAGGGCTGTTGAATTTTGTCAAAGGCCTTCTCTGCATCTATTGAGATAATCATGTGGTTTTTGTCATTGGTTCTGTTTATATGCTGGATTACATTTATTGATTTTCATATGTTGAACCAGCCTTGCATCCCAGGGATGAAGCCCACTTAATCATGGTGGATAAGCTTTTTGATGTGTTGCTGGATTCGGTATGCCAGTATTTTATTGAGGATTTTTGCATCGATGTTCATCAGGGATATTGATCTAAAATTCTCTTTTTTTATTGTGGATCCAGCCAAACTGAGCTTCATAAGTGAGGGAGAAAAAAAAATCCTTTACAGACAAGCAAATGCTGAGAGATTTTGTCACCATCAGGCCTGCCCTACAAGAGCTCCTGAAGGAAGCACCAAATATGGAAATGAACAACCGGTACCAGCCACTGCAAAAACATGCCGAATTGTAAAGACCATCGAGACTAGGAAGAAACTGCATCAAGTAACGAGCAAAATAACCAGCTAACATCATAATGACAGGAGCAAATTCACACATAACAATATGAACCTTAAATGTAAATGGGCTAAATGCTCCAATTAAAAGACGCAGACTGGCAAATTGGATAAAGAGTCAAGACCCATCAGTGTGCTGTATTCAGGAAACCCATCTCATGTGCAATGACACACGCAGGCTCAAAATAAAGGGATTGAGGAAGATCTACCAAGCAAATGGAAAACAAAAAAAGGCAGGGGTTGCAATCCTAGTTTCTGATAAAACAGACTTTAAACCAATAAAGATCAAAAGAGACAAAGAAGGGCATTTCATAATGGTAAAGAGATCAATTCAACAAGAAGAACTAACTACCCTAAATATATATGCACCCAATACAGGAGCATCCAGATTCATAAAGCACATCCTTAGAGACCTACAAAGAGACTTAGACTCCCACACAATAATAATGGGAGACTTTAACACCCCACTGTCAACATTAGACAGATCCACGAGACAGAAAGTTAACAAGAATATCCAGGAATTGAACTCAGCTCTGCACCAAGCAAACCTAATAGATATCTACAGAACTCTCCATCCCAAATCAACAGAATATACATTCTTCTCAGCACCACATCACACTTATTCCAAAATTGACCACATAGTTGGAAATAAAGCACACTCCTCAGCAAATGTAAAAGAACAGAAATTATAACAAACTGTCTCTCAGACCACAGTGCAATCAAACTAGAACTCAGGATTCAGAAACTCACTCAAAACCGCTCAACTACATGGAAACTGAACAACCTGCTCCTGAATGATACTGGGTACAAAACGAAATGAAGGCCGAAATAAAGATGTTCTTTGAAACCAATGAGAACAAAGATACAACATACCAGAGTCTCTGGGACACATTTAAAGCAGTGTGTAGAGGGAAATTTATAGCACTAAATGCCCACAAGAGAAAGCAGGAAAGATCTAAAATTGACACCCTAACATCACAATTAAAATAACTAGAGAAGCAAGGGCAAATACATTCAAAAGCTAGCAGAAGGCAAGAAATACTAAGATCAGACAAGCACAAGGAGACAGAGACACAAAAAACCCTTCAAAAAATCAATGAATCCAGGAGCTCGTTTTTTGAAAAGATCAACAAAATTGATAGACCACTAGCAAGACTAATAAAGAAGAAAAGAGAGAAGAATCAAATAGATGCAATAAAAAATGATAAAGGGGATATCACCACCGATCCCACAAAAATACAGACTACCATCAGAGAATACTATAAACACCTCTACGCAAATAAACTAGAAAATCTAGAAGAAATGGATAAATTCCTGGACACATACACCCTCCCAAGACTAAACCAGGAAGAAGTTGAATGTCTGAATAGACCAATAACAAACTCTGAAATTGAGGCAATAATTAGTAGCTTACCAACCAAAAAAAGTCCAGGACCAGACGGATTCACAGACGAATTCTACCAGAGGTACAAGAGGAGCTGGTACCATTCCTTCTGAAACTATTCCACTCAATGGAAAAAGAGGGAATCCTCCCTAACTCATTTTATGAGGCCAGCATCATCCTGATACCAAAGCCTGGCATAAACTGGTTTCTTTCTGACTTTAGGTCCCTGATCTCCCTTTTTTAGAGTATTTACTTTAGAAAATCTGAAATTGTAAATTCTTTCTCTGTCCCTTTGAGAAGCAAATCTTTGCTGGGCTCTTGTGTGTTTTACAAATCAGGAATTTCTTTCTCAAGGATCTGGGAGCCATTTCTTTCAAATATAATCATTAAGAAAGATAGAGCCTCCATACCTGTTTCTGTGAAAGGGTAGAAGCCTAACTTTGATAATACAATTAGCAAACACAGGTGGCCTAATCACAATGACCAACACTGCTTCCGCAAGGTCCTCCAGCACTTTTCCCCTAGATCACCTCAATGCTTAAAGGCTCTCCTATCTTTTGTTTTAGAAGGGTTCAGTTCAGTCTGTCTACCCTATTGCAGTAGTCTTGACTCCTATTGCAATAGTCTTGAGTAGAGTTTTCCTTACCTGCTAACTACCTAAAGAGAACTTTTTCTCTGATAAGCGCCTACTATACTCTAGGTAATAAGCCACAGTCTCACATCCTGGATCTGTTTAGCTAGACACCTAGGCAAATATAAATTAAGGTGATAAGTTTAAGGTTCACATTTACAAATGTGCTATTAAAAAGAGCAGAGGGAGGAATTTCTTTTTTCCTGAAGTGAGAAAGGATTTAGGGAAGTTATACAGATTAGAAAACAAAATTGAATCATGAAGAACAAGGAAGAAATATCCTAATATACATCATATGAAGACAATTCTAGGCAAATGAAACTATGAATGACAATATGTGCAGAGTTCATAATACATTTGGGGAATGTTAAGAAGTCAAGAGTTATTGTAACATAGTATACATTTGTTGTTTGATGAAAGAAATGAGAGTTGGAGTAGCTGGGAAGATTGCCTATTATTAAGTTATGAAAATGATTACAAGTAATTTTAAGTAATTTGGGTTCCAGGAACTGGGAAGTCAGTAGAAGTACAGTATGTAAAAAAGTGACCAGATGTGTGCTTTTGAATATTACTAGGCTAGCAGAGTAGGATTAATTTGCTGGTAAACTGGATCTCCAGCAGGCGATGGGGAGAAGGAAAAGCACAGATTTGTAGAATTTACAGATTTCTCTGGTGTAAACACTCCCACTGTGGCTGATTTCAAATTGCCAATTGTTTAATAACCAGATTTCAGAATTCCTGAATTTTAACAATTGTAATTTTATGAGCCGGTACAGCTTGTTCTAAAACACCACTGGTAGTAGAGGAAGAGAATAAGTTTTGTCTAGGTGAGATAGATGAAGTTACAGACTCATAAAACAACTGTGAATGTGGGTAGGAGGAAACCAAATCAAAACACATTTCAGAAGTAAAGCTGACAGTTCATGTTAGAAATACTATTCATATTATAAAGAGGCTTCACTTTAAGGGTCTTTTAAATGGTCAGCTATTTACAGTTCAATTAATGTGTGTCAGAGATCAAGTAATGTTCCCATGGTTATCCACCTTGTCAGTGGCAGAGCCTGGATTTGAATCCAATCTGCTTATTCCAGAGTCCCATATATAGGTTTAGGCGCTCATCTCAGATTCATCTGGAAAATGAACCTAATGAGATTGTTCTAATGATAATGCGTATATCCAAAGCATTTAGAACAATTTTGACACCTATAAACACTTATGAAATTGCAGCTATATTATTAATATTGTAATTACCATTATCCTTGTTTTTACCACAATTGTCATTATATCTGATTGAATAGGTTAGGGGGGTTATGACACAATAAATCATGAGCTCCTAGTATAAAAAGCAATTTTCTATGCTAAAAAGTTTACAATTGGGGGAAAATAATACATTTAAAATGCTGTGGGTTTTGAATTGTATTTCTTAATCTTTTTTCTCCTAGTATAAACTAAGTCTTATAAATGAAACTATGTGACATAGAATATCAGCTTCCTTTATATCATCACAGCATGGGATAGGCTTGCTAGGTGATGATAAGCTCATCAAATATTCCTCTATGTTAAAAGCTAAGATATTGGCCCTGTAAACTTTAAACCTTATTCTTCCTTGTCCTGATAAAATCAGGAGTAGAATTAAATTTTGAATTATGCTAGTAGTGACTTGTAATCCTCAAGTAGCTAAAACCTCTGTTTTTCAAGGAATATTTCACAAAGGAGGCTGACATCAGTCTCTAGCCAAGCTTTGACCACTGAAGATGATATAACTTGTGCATATTGCACACCATTGGATTTTGGCATCTGTGTAAAGCGTTAGCTTTTCTTCTAGTGAGATAAAAACCTTTTAATCTATTCACAGAGCAAGAATCTTTTGGGCCACAGCTTTATAGCCTCTACTGTTTTGGACCTACAGATAAATCACTCATAAGATAGAAAATTTAACAGAAAATTTTGGACTCTAAAATAGGCTGCAAACTATTTAATTTTAAAAATTCAATAACTGCTATCAAACACACATGATGAAGATGAATGTATCTCCTGCAATTTTCTCAGTTGGCACACCAGAGAATACCTGAAAGACAAGGTCACTAGAGCTGGGACTGTGTTCACACTTTTGAATTTAAAGTCTTTGATAAAAAAAAATCTTTACTCAAAATTGAAACATATATTCATGAACAAGTATTAGCACATAATAAAGCAATGTTGCTGACTCTGGGCAATTTGTAGAAATATCCAATGCAAATCAATGCCAAAGGATGCATGTCACGTTAGTTATTGTGGGAAAATAGCTTCATTACATAATTACACTCCTTTTACATTGGTACTTGTGTTTAATATTTATTATTATTTGTCACCCAAAGTGTCAGCCTTGGCATAACCATTCACACCGTGAAAACAAAGAGCACATAATTGTTTGTTTTGACAAAAAGTATACATATTACAGTCTTTATAATAAAATTAAAACTGTGTTCTGCATGTGAGCACAAAGGGAGTTTGCAACTGAAGTGTGATGCTTCAAAGGAAAATCTATGTAAATTCTGGCACAGAGGACAGTTGAATTTCTTCTCTAGGCCAACTCTTATGTGGTAAATGCAAATACTTTCCCTATCTTTGTGTGAACTTTGATTATGCTTGTTTAAAATAAAAGGGGGATTCACATTATAAGAAATCGTATGAGGTATAATTTTATATTCTCTTTGGAATCTCTCTTCCTCTAACTGCCCGAAATTGAAATTTTAACTCCAAACCAGTGGAGGTAATGGAATCACACACACTGGTATAACTCTTCATACCTCCTGGGTATGAATCTTGTGTGCACCACAAGGGAGTGGATTGTGGTAGAGATAGATTTGAAAATATAGTGAATTAATAGAAAATTTGAGATACGGTAAGTCCAACAGATCAGAAAACAATTGCCATTGAAAAGATAGTTTATTACTCACAGTTTCTTAAAGCAGGAGGTGTGTTACGTCATGGGGGGAATACATCAGAGGTTGGTCATGCAGCAGAGGGATGGGAAGGAGCTTTAAGGCAGAGGACTTTATTATTGTTTTGGTGGGAAAGAATAGGTGAGACAGCATAAATAGATTTAGGATTGGCTGGTTAAAATAATTTCAGTGGGCTCTAGAACAAAGGAGGTATTTCTAGTTGTCCAGTTCCCTTGCTGTGGGGGTGATTAGAGCAGATGTGAGAGTACAATAAATGAGGTGATCGAGAGTGAACTCTGGAGTAGCTGGTTTGTATTTGAAAAGTGCCCTCCCAGAAGGAGGAAGGGAGGGGTGAGGAGTGAGGTAGGAAGCCAAAGCAAGGTGATTTAGACATACTATTGGATTGTCCAGAACAAAGAGTCTTCTGGACACTAGCATAGGGCAGATGTTAAATTATCAAGTTTACAGAAGCTACAAATAGTTAATACAAGAGAGGGATGATTTACTATAATACAACTAAAGCATTTAACATGTAGTGGGTGCTGTTGGTGGCTGATCTGGACTTCCTTCACAGAGTTGTTAAGTCAGCATTTAATGCTGTGAGGACTGGATGCTAGGAGCTCACAGCTTTGTCATTCTCTGGAAGATTGCCCTAGGCCAGTGGTTCTCAAACTTCAAGATACATCAGAGTCACCTGGAGAGCCTATGCAATCACAAATCGGTTGGCCCCACTTCCAGAGTTTCTGATGTAGTATGTGTCATGTCTTACAAATTCTCAGGTGATGCTGACCCTGCTGGTCTTGGGACCACACATTAATAACAACTGGTCTAGATTGACAGAAATCACCTTCCCCGGAGATTCTTGAGGGGTTACACCCTCCTGGGTCAATGACTGTACAAGTCTTGCCACCTTGCCTTAAATCAGGGCACTCTGTGGAGCTATTCATTCTCCAGAGATCCCCTGGGACCAGGGTGTGGCTAGACTGTCACTGACTCCTCACCAAGTTGCTTCCTCTATCCAGTACTGCTTCCAACTTCACCAAGTTGCTTTCCCTATCCAGGACTGCTTCCCTACTGCCTATTGGGTTTCTCCTTAGTAAATTACCTGTGCAACATACACCCTTCTGTTTCTGATTTTAGAAAACTCAGGCTACGTAACATATTTTTACCAAAATTATGTTCTTATTACTGCAACTACTCCAAGAATTACTTTACTATTTTAGAGTTTTGTTTAGTCTCAATATTCCTATTGATTCTCAGACACAGCAATGGTTTTGAGAGTGGTCAGTAGTAAATAAAATGCACCAAATGAAAATTATGTATAGCAAAATATATATATATAATAAAAAATTAAGGCAATGGGCTATGTATTTGGAGAGTTGAATGGGAAAAGGGGTCTTAATTAGTTTTCTTTGCCAAGAATATTTAGTGTCTATTCACTGTTGGTGTTGTTCTTATAAGGCAAGTTAAAAAGAAATTATCCTGCCTTTCACCACTTTAGATTATAATGTGTTATCTGAAAACAAATTTACATTTTGTGAGGAGGTGACAAATTCATTCAGTGAGTATCACGGGCAATATTTTGGCATCTAAATTAGCTCCCATAGCTGATTTGTTTCCATTAATAAAATGTAATTAAATCATATGCATGAATGAATAAATAAATTAGTATACATTTAATAATATACATATGTCGCACATTGGGCTCTCCACTTTCTCATACTTTAATTATTTAATCTTCATGAGGAAGGGCTCCAAACGAGTTTCCTGAAAACAAAAGAAATTCTGCAAATTTTTAAAACTAGGGTAAAGAAACTTGGTAAATAGCTCAAATTCATGTAGAATTGCTATTTTCCTTTCAATAATATAATACTGTTAGGCAATTTCCATGAATTAACATATTATTGAAAAATGATTAACGTCATGCCTGCCACTGATTTTGACAAAACACTACAGATTATAGGTCTATCTCTACCTCACACTATTCCAAGCTTTGAAACAGAACTTACTACATTTTAATTCTGATTCTGGTAGGAAAAAAGACAAGTAATTTTTATTTGCACTTTCTTATTAGAGATGAGAACATATGATGAATGAGACGAATAGTGTGAAAAAAATTTGATTAGAGTTTCTTAAATCACTATTAAAGAAAATTTATTACATAAATTGTCACAAACCCAGGAACCTGATTAAAAACAGATAGTTTTGTGTTTTAGTCTCATCTGACTTTTGCGTGAGGCAATATGTTGTCATGAAAAGAACGAAATACACATGATTTCAAATTCTAGTTTTCCCACTAAACATCTGTGTGATCTAAATTAAGTTATAGTAGCTCTGGGTCTTTTAAAATCCTCATCTTTAAGTTGGTGATGATTATGCCTATCTTGATAGTATGGTTGGGAAGATAAATGAAGTAATTTACGTAAATTTGTATACCGCATGGCCAGAATGTTGAAGGCTCACAAAAATATTGATTTTCTCCACTTTTAATTCTATACCCACCTCCTTCTCTTTCTGAACACATATTCTGTGCTCCAGTTAAACTAAGATACTACCACCTCTAAACACATCTGGTATTATTCAGCTTATCTGCTTCTTTATACCTCCTACTGTTCATCTTATTTGGTTTTCTCTCTATTTCATCCAGCCTTTATAAACCAGATTTCCTTAATCTCTAATGAAGTGAGATTTCTTCCTCCTATGTCTGTCCAAAGACACAACTCTCATGACTTTGAACGTGTTTTGCCATGCATTATTCTTGCACACACATTATTTCTTTGATATTATCTAGTGTGATGTTTTATTCTGCCTACAGTAGGTGCTTATCACATGCATCCCCAAAGTTATCACAATAAATAACTTAGTAACTATTTGAATGGTTATAGCTTTTTCTGCCTCCCACCATATATTATAAGCTCTTGAAAAGTACTATGCATTTTATCTTTCTATTTCTGTGCCCCACTTCGATGGTATATTCCTGTTCGTATATAAGAGTTATGCAATAAATTTTTACAACAATATATAGAATTTTCTATTTTACAGGCATATACAAGAGGGCTTCAAAAAGCTCATGACAAAATAAAAGTAAAAGATAAGTATAAAAATAAACTTTATTTTTCAATATAAACTCCAAAATAAAAGATAAGCATAAAACGTAAACTTTATTTTTCAATATAAACTCCATCAGAGTAATACACATTTATAAGTGATGATACCAGCCATTTAGTGCATCTCTAAAGAACTGAGGATCCTGGGAAGTTAACTATGTCAATGCTGTCTTTTTGACATTATTAACTAAAGAAAGACAGATGCCCTTTAAAGATTGCTTAACATCAGGAACCAAAAAGAAATCAGAAGGAGCCAAATCAGAATGGTGACGTGGTTGCCTAATGATTTCCCGTAGGAACTCTTGCAAAATTACCCTTGTTTGCTGAGAGGAATTAGCAGAAGCATTGCTGTGGTGGACAAAGACTCTCTGGCGAGACTGTCCTGGACATTTTTCTGCTAAAGCTTTGGCTAACTTTCTCAAAACACCCTCATAATAAGCAGATGTTACCATTCTTTGGTCCTTCAGAAAGTCAACAAGAAAATGCCTTGAGTATCACACAAAATAAACAGTGCTGTGACCTTTGTTCCTGACCAGGCTACTTTTGCTGTGACTGGACCATGTCCACCTCTTGGTAGCCATTGCTTTGATTGTGTTTTGTCTTCAGGATCATACTGGTAAAGCCATATTTTATCTCCTGTTACAATTCTTGAAAGAAACACTTTAGGATCTTTATCCTACTTGTTTAAAATTTCCATTGAAAACTCTGCTCTTGTCTACAGTTGATCTGGGTACAATGGTTTTGGTACACATTCAGTGGAAATTTTGCTCAGCTTTAATTTTTCAGTCACAATTGTGTAAGCTAAAACAATGGAGATGTCTATGATATTGGCTATTGTTTCTGCCATGAATTGCCAGTCCTATTCAATTTGAGAACAGACAAATATTTTTTTCTTGCAAATAGATGTGGATGGTTTGCCACTGTAGGCTTCATCTTCAACATCATCTCAACCCATCTTAAAATAAGTTTCTATAAACTGCTGATTTATATGGGGCATTGTTCCCATAAACTTTTTGTAAAGAATCCATGAATTCACCATTCATCCACTCAAGCTTCACCATACATTTGATGTTTGTTCTTGCTTCAATTTTAGCATATTAAGGTTGCTCTTATAGGGGCTCTTTTCAAATTGATGTGTTATTCTTCTTAGTATCTCAAACTATATTCTATTCAGACATGTCATAATAAGTTAGCAGGAGTTTATTTTGGTGCAAAAAATGGAAATCCATACATACTTTTTTCATAATACACATTTTCCACAAACATTTTGAAGATCGCTTATATGTCCAAGCCTATGGTTTATTCTGCCAAAGAAATTTTCATATGTTTAATGATTTAATAATTAACATTAGTGACTGTAATCTGAAAAAGGGACATTTGATAACATATCTTCAAGCAATGATTGGACAGCTCTTATTATCCTCTATCTTCTCTGTGAGATAGTCATACATGTAGTTTATGAGGCCATAGGTTATTAAATCCCCAAAAGGTAACTTATAAGCTACAGTCAGGTGGAGTTAGAAGCACCCATCAAGTCATTGAAGTTAGTGTTCCCAGGCACCTTCATCTTAACTTGTAACACTTTTACCTTTCTCTTGAACTTATTCAACCTCTGTAGCTACCCTTGCTGACTTTTGCTTAGTAGATTTGACTGTACTTCCCTGTGCTTCTCACTATGACTTGTCATCCTCATTTGGATCTTTGGATTACTTTTTCACTCCAGAGTGAGATTATTGTATTTTGACCCTCGTTGATAACCAATGCCATATTGTTTTCCATTCATCTTTTTTAGTACTTATAATACACTAGCCTGACTAGTCAATTCATCTGAGCATTATAGCCAGAAGTAATTTTTTAATGAAAATTACCCTGTAAAAATATGGATGTGAAAGATTTATCTTTTCTTTTCCCAGCCACAACAAGACTTATACTAGGTTACTTGTGTCTTTGTCATCATTTTACCACTTTATTTTATTTATTGTGTCTGCAACATTGGAGATGAGGAGTACACTTTTCAATAGACATCCTAGGGAGCAGGAACTGTAAGATTGTCTAGGGTTTCCCCAGGTCTTCATAGGCAATAAATCTAGAAACCAATTCACAAGGAAAATTTGAATCTTCATTTGCCATGTAGAAGCCATGAAGAAACGCCTGCATAAACATTTTGTAAACATGCAAACTATGGTTGTGTTTCATAAATCACCTATTGAGAAGTCATAGGAAATGGCAAGCAAGGTTCCCAAAACTTGAAGCAGGAACTCCTCTAATAGTATTAAGTAGCAAATGGGAAACATGTGTGGACAGGTAACAGATCTCACCTCTTGGCAGAAATATGAAAGAAAGTGTGTCTTTTTTTTAGTAATATGAAGCGTATTAAATTTCTCAATACAGATACTGACTCCAAAAGACCACACATTTTATAGCTGGAGAATATGGTAAAAACA
This sequence comes from Homo sapiens, assembly GCF_000001405.40. Classification (NCBI taxonomy): domain Eukaryota; kingdom Metazoa; phylum Chordata; class Mammalia; order Primates; family Hominidae; genus Homo; species Homo sapiens. The sequence goes on along the minus strand of NC_000007.14, from coordinate 89,513,052 downwards.
AGTTGTTCACAAGTGTTAAATGGAGAGTTGAATCATATAACCCAATATTTTAAGCAAAACAAAATGGATTTACTCAAATAAAATATGTTAGTGGATTACGTTAACATGGCCTAGGCAAAACAAAGGACAAGGCCAAGGTTGTAGAAAAAAATCTCTGAAATGGGATGAGAGGGCAGAGAGAAGAAGGAGATGATGCAGTCATACTCAGAGATAAATTACATAGCCTTTGCATAGAACAAATCTGGGCATACCAGGAAAACATCACCAAAGAAAAGAAAACAAAGAGTCCCTGTTAGACAAACACACACACACACACACACACACACACACACACACACACACACACACCAACTTCAACAAAGTGACCCATTTCCAATTTTGGGTATTCTATGAGCATGACGCCAAATATTCCAGATGGTTTTGCTTCCATTGGTCTGCTTAGCTTTGGCTTTGTAGTCAGATTGTCTGGGTTTCATTTGGCCTTGTCATTCTTCTAATAAAAATATATACTCTAATCCCTGAAATGCAAATTGTTTTCATGGTCATTGGGGAAACATACCCTGCAGACTATTTTTTTTATTTCATCTAATTAGAAATCACTTTCTCTGTAGCAATAAATGTGATGTTTGGATAAAAATAATTCTGTGAGATATGTAATTTAAAGTTATATTTATGTTATAATTTAGAAATGTAATTCCATTTTTAAATAAAAAAGCTGTCTGGCTCTTTATTGAAATACATTTTAACTTTGTGAATTTATGGGTCTTACAGACAAGGCTTGAGTAATACATAAAAATTGGACTTCACAATTTGTTTAAAATTTAAAATCAAGATGCATTTTGCTTTCATCTCAAGCATTAGTAGAGGAGGTGAGAAACATAATTTTCTTAACTCTGAAGTCCAATTCCATGGCTAATCAAGGTTGATTGATTGGAGATGTCAAAAAGAGTGGCAGCTGATATCCTCCAGTCTGCTGACCTTGCGTTTCAGAAGACAGATTAAGCCAGGCTGTCTCTTTCTAAATTCAAATGGATTGGGGGAAAAAAAAATCTTTGTGCCTTGATCCATTATGGGTCTTGTGCTTAATTGATCTTTGACTCATTACTGCAGCTGAACAATTTAGTGTCACTGACATGAATACTTGTTTACAAAATGGTAAACCAGGGTAATTGTTCATCCTCAACTTTGAAACAGAGTAACAACTTAATAACCTAATGAAAACAAACTGCAAGAAAATTATAAAACAGTCCCCAATCCAGCAGTATCCTATTTATTTATCTCCATTTAAAAATTACTGGTAGCAGGAATGAGTTGCAAATATTGGTATTCTCCATATCCATATACTTCACATATTTTGCTGATAATTTTTCAATATTTAATTTAGGCAGGAATATCAGCTTGTTACAATGCAAAACAACTCCTGTATATGACAAATGTACAATGACTATATACTGCTAACTACTTTTTGATAAAATAATGAGTTGTTTACTACTTCCAGTTACATAACAATTTTGGATAGCTGTATAGTTTACATTCACTTCCAAGGCCAATTTTCATTATAAGAGCAATTATTAAATATTTGAAGATACAATTTTGTTGCAAAATTACCATGAACAAAAGTTTTTTTCTAGCATGTGCCATAATTTTCTTTATTTCTAGTAAATTGAAAGTAATCATTAACATTTTATCAAGATATGTTTTAGTTGTGAAATTTATAAGAATAGTTTAAATGTATTGCTTGATAAATAACAGAGTAAGTTTTCATTTGATGGATTTATAATCAGAGCATAACACAGATAATCCCCAGTTTATAATGGATTGACTTTGAATTGTTCTATTTCATGATGGTGCAAAAGTGGTATTTATTCAGTAGAAACTGTATTTCAAATTTTGAATTTTGATCTTTCCCCAGGCTAGGGATATGTGGTACGATATTCTTAAGATGCTACGCAGCAGTTGTGAGCCTCAGCTCCCAGTCAGCTACAGTCATGAGCGTAAACAACTGACACTGTACAATGTACTGTGTCATGAGATGATTTTGCTCGACTGTAGGCTACTAAGTGTTCTGGGCACATTTACAGTAGGTGAGGCTAAGCTATTGTGTTTGGTGGTTTAGGTGTATTAAATACATTTTTATTTACAATATTTCAACTTATAATGGGTTTATTGGGATGTAAACCCACTGTAATTCAAGGAACATCTGTATATTTATCCTCCCTTTATGAAGTATTATATGTGATGATAAACATACAGATAATATACCATGGGAATTTATCCTTCTTCTCAAATATCATATGTAGGAACTCATTAATTTGTTGCCTACTTATTATTTTCGATTAGGAAAATAAATTTTCTCTTAAGAAATTCTCAAGAATCCTTAAGTATTCAAATAATTAAATATGGTAATGGTAATGGAGAAAGAGACAAGAGACAGTGAGAAACAGAGAAAGAGAGAAATATCTCTAACCTGTGTTTGTGCTGTGTTGTATAGTCATCTTATTAAATTTCATTGGATCTAAAAGAATTAGATCTAAAAGAAATAGATCCAAAAGAATTAGATCCAATAAAATTTGTATACAAATTACAAAATGCACTATTATTTTATGTACCAGCATTAAAAACTCTGCCAATTAAATTGTGACACAATCTGAAGACACCAGTATTACAAGATGCATGCTGATATCAGTGATGTAAATGTGGAAAACAAAGGCCATCTTAGACTAGATGAACTGTGGTCACTTCTTATTGGAGGTAACACTACCTCACACTCCCCAAAATGATTCCTGCAGCCAAAGTGAATATGAACAAAAAAACACTATCCTGATTTTCCTCTTATTTTACTCATGACTTAGTCTCCTTTCATGAATCAGCCTCTTCACTTAGCATTTCTGACTAACTGCTCCAAAGTTAAACCCTTAGACTTCACTTCTCTGTCTACTCTCACCCCATAACTGATTTTACTTAATCTCATAGATTTAAATATCACCTATATGGTAGATGGATGAATCTTCAATTTGCAGCTTCATCCTGAACCTCTCTCGGATCTGTATATCCAACTGCCAATGTAATAATTCTACTGCATGTCTACAAGGCATTCATAATTCTAGACCTAATATAGAACTCTTAGTTGCTGCCATCCCTTAAGTTCTCCTGATTTCAGCATGTAGCACCAGCCATCCAGCTGTTTAGAGAAATTTAAGAGCTTTTCTGGATTGTTTTCTCAAGCCCCACGTTCACTTTTCTTAGATCTAACTTCAAAATTGTTCAAAATTGGTAAATTTTTAACCCCCTTGACAATCTTACCCTAGTCTTAAATACCTTCAGTTCGTTCCAACACTTGTCTTGAACTCCCAACTGGTTGCTCTACTTCTGTATTTTCTCACATTCTTCACAGTGAAGCCAAAGGGATATGTCTACAGAGTAAATCTGATCATGTTCTTTTCCTGCTCAGATGTTTTCTTTAGCTTCTAATCAAACTTAGAAAAGTATATGAATATATTTTTTTTTATTTTATGGCCATGAAGTTCTACATTATATCTGGCTCATGGTTACCTATTAATACTATTTTACACACACACACACACACACACACACTCTCTCTCTCTCTCTCTCTCTCTCCCCCTCTCCCTATAACCCCACTAGACTTGGATCTGCTCATAGAACTTGATTTTATCTTACCACTCCATAGCCATACCACTGACTAACATATAATGGATGCCCAATAAATACTGATGATTAACTGAATAAATGAATGGATGGATAAAACAGGAAAATGCTTTGTAAATACCAACCCATTGCCATCTCTCTTTCCACTACTTTTCTGTTATTTTGGACCTGGTAGAATAAAGAGTGGAAATATGTCTGCTGTTGGATCTAGGAATGCTGGAAGTTTATAAAGATGAAAGGCTTTTGGTGTCTGTCCAAGAATACAGACATTTTGGTAAAGAACTGACGAGACTATTGGTGTTTTTAGGTCAGCATTGTTAACTTTAATATAATGGTCAGTTAGAATATAAGCTTTTTAAAGTCCCTGACTAACATTAAAAACAAGGCATTCCTAATATCAAGCACTCTTCAGAGTGTGCTTTCCCCTTGTTTGTCATTCTGACAATTCTGAAGTTAATAATCTGCCACATATCAAGCACTAAGGCGGGGAAGTGTCTACCAGACATTCAAGGAGATTGCTGTCCTGACTGCTGAACCTAAGGCTAGGAATTTGGTGTCAAGGCTCTTCATTGCTGCCTGGCTGTTAGGCTTGTGAACAGCAGAATAACTGTTGTTGCTGAAATTCATCACAGGATACTCTTTCCAAAACTTACACTGAGGTAGTCAGTGAAATCGGTCTCCGTAGGGCAGAGGGTCATCTGTCATTTTGAAACAAGCTTGTGTGGGCTCTGAGGCTCTGAAACAGTTTCTTTAATATGAAATATTTATGTGAGAATGGGGATTGAGTTTGACTTTGGGCCTGTGGAGCACATTATGGCACTATTTTTGCTGAAAGGCAGAATGTCGGGTGGTAGATAAAGCAGCCCAGGATTCTGAATCTGTTCTAGTCATGTGATTTTCTGTCCTCACGATTCCCATTTGTTACTGTGTGCTCCTTCTGCACTGCTGTGAGTTTGTCACCCTCTAATCTTAAGGGGATTACTAGCAAATGCACTGCCAATGGAGAGATACCAATTATAAAGGATTTGTGTGATGAAATGACCATCTTTTCTCCTTGGTAGGAATTATGTCTTTTAATAGTTCTGTGTTTTTAAGAAAATTTTATATTGAAAACTGTGGTCTATTTTTAAATCCTTTACTTTAGGTGGAGATGAGGATTCTGAAAGTTTGAGGATGTAGGTGGAACTAATAACCCTAGCTCAGGATAGCTGAATAACTCATTTAGTCTCAGGATATGTTAGTCAAGAAAGAGAAAACATTACATTCTAAGAATTTTGTTAGTTATTACAAGGAGACCAAATAATAAACATTAGTGGAAGGATTTGTTTAGCAGAAATGAGATGGCTAGTCAGGATCATTCCTCAGAACATTTAGGAAGTTCTAGGCTGATAATGAACTTAAAGTAATTGTAAAAGGAACTATATCTAACAAATAAACACTTTCTCATTTGAAACTTAGGGATAATCATGGAATAATGGATAATTCACAAAATTATTGTGAAAACTTAAAAGAGAAAACACATATAAAAGTACCCAGCAGATTGTGAATAGTAAAGCAATATTCAAAAGTTACATTTTTGTTACTTTTATTGAGTGTATTAGAACCTTAATTATTGCCATAGCATCCAAAGGCATGTTGAACTTCAACTTGAGAAGAAAATAGCTAATTAATTGGACACTTATTTGGATTTAGAGCATCAAGCATAGTCTGTATCTACAAGTATCTATCATCTGTCTATCTATCTATCTATCTATCATATATCTATTCATCCATTAATCCATTTATTTCTCTATCTTCCTGAAGTATATACAGAGATATTTCTTTAGCTGTTTCTTGTTGAAATATAGTAAGAGATATGTGGTCAAGAATTGGTATATGATCTAAAGAGAGAAATGCACTTTAGGTAAGGCCACATGATAAGATTTAATAACTTAATATCAGGATGTGTTTAGAATAGAGAACACTTATTTAGGTAAATGTCTCTAGGAGACACTGGTGGCCTGTAGCAATACTTTCCAACTATGTTTCTATTAAGGGATACATGTAAAAATGACGATATGTATATGGCCCACAGGTCTAAAGAATGAGGTTTCTCGCAGATAAAGACAACTGGCTAGATGATTAATGGCACATAAACTCTGCCTGGCAGCCTAAAACCTGAGGAGATAAAATTATTGGAACACACTGCTCAGAGATCTCTAGCTTTAGGTCTGGAAACCATCAGATTGTGCGATTTCACTTACTAGCTTGGGAAAGTGACTGAATCTCTCTGAATATTTATTCCCATGTGTGTAAGATTAGGATAATAATCTTTTCCTTTAGGTACTCTATATCATCTATATGAGGTTCAAATAACATGGTACCTGTGAAAGATTATAATAAAGTAAAATATTATATAAATATTTGATATTAATACCAAAATAATATGGGGTTTTGCTTATTTTTTAAAGTTTAGATGCAATTGAGCAAGTTGGAGTAGTAACTGTACTTAAAAATAAACAAGTTGTATATGGAAAGTGGTAAAATCATATTGGACAGGATGAAAATTAAAGAAAATGAGCATAATTTTATTAATATGTTTGTTGTTGCAATTACCATCATTCAAGTGAGATGAAATTTTGCTTTTCAAAACAGAAGAAGAATGTTTTCCCACATATGGAAACATAAAATTTCTGCTCTTTCTTAGCCATATTATCTTTAAATGTCTAGGTCTCTGAAATGGTATTGCCTAGGTTTTCTTCTAGGGTTTCTATGGTTTTAGGTCTAACATGTAAGTCTTGAAACCATCTTGAATCAATTTTTGTATAAGGTGTAAGGAAGGGATCCAGTTTCAGCTTTCCACATATGGCTAGCCAGTTTTCCCAGCACCATTTATTAAATAGAAAATCCTTTCCCCATTGCTTGTTTTTGTCAGATTTGTCAAAGATCAGATAGTTGTAGATATGGGGCATTATTTCTGAGGGCTCTGTTCTGTTCCATTGATCTATATCTCTGTTTCGGTACCAGTACCATGCTGTTTTGGTTACTGTAACCTTGTAGTATAGTTTGAAGTCAGGTAGTGTGATGCCTCCAGCTTTGTTCTTTTGGCTTAGGATTGACTTGGCGATGCGGGCTCTTTGTTGGTTCCATATGAACTTTAAAGTAGTTTTTTCCGATTCTGTGAAGAAAGTCATTGGTAGCTTGATGGGGATGGCATTGAATCTATAAATTACCTTGGGCAGTATGGCCATTTTCACGATATTGATTCTTCCTACCCATGAGCATGGAATGTTCTTCTATTTGTTTGTATCCTCTTTTATTTCCTTGAGCAGTGGTTTGTAGTTCTCCTTGAAGAGGTCCTTCACATCCCTTTTAAGTTCGATTCCTAGATATTTTATTCTCTTTGAAGCAATTGTGAATGGGAGTTCACTCATGATTTGGCTCTCTGTTTGTCTGTTGTTGGTGTATAAGAATGCTTGTGATTTTTGTACATTGATTTTATATCCTGAGACTGCTGAAGTTGCTTATCAGTTTAAGGATATTTTGGGCTGAGACATTAGGGTTTTCTAGATATACAATCATGTCATCTGCAAACAGGGACAATTTGACTTCCTCTTTTCCTAATTGAATACCCTTTATTTCCTTCTCCTGCCTAATTGCCCTGGCCAGAACTTCCAACACTGTGTTGAATAGGAGTGGTGAGAGAGGGCATCCCTGTCTTATGCCAGTTTTCAAAGGGAATGCTTCCAGTTTTTGCCTATTCAGTATGATATTGGCTGTGGGTTTGTCATAGATAGCTCATATTATTTTGAGATACATCCCATCAATACCTAATTTATTGAGAGTTTTTAGCATGAAGCATTGTTGAATTTTGTCAAAGGCCTTTTCTGCATCTATTGAGATAATCATGTGGTTTTTGTCTTTGGTTCTGTTTATATGCTGGATTACATTTACTGATTTGCGTATGTTGAACCAGCCTTGCATCCCAGGGATGAAGCCCACTTGATCATGGTGGATAAGCTTTTTGATGTGCTGCTGGATTCGGTTTGCCAGTATTTCATTGAGGATTTTTGCATCCATGTACAATAGCAAAGACTTGGAACCAACCCAAATGTCCAACAACGATAGACTGGATTAAGAAAATGTGGCACATATACACCATGGAATACTATGCAGCCATAAAAAATGATGAGTTCATGTCCTTTGTAGGGACATGGATGAAACCGGAAACCATCATTCTCAGCAAACTATCGCAAAGACAAAAAACCAGACACTGCATGTTCTCACTCATAGGTGGGAATTGAACAATGAGAACACTTGGACACAGGAAGGGGAACATCACACTCCGGGGACTGTTGTGGGGTGGGGGGAGGGGGAGGGATAGCATTAGGAGATATACCTAATGCTAAATGACGAGTTAATGGGTGCAGCATACCAACATGGCACATGTATACATATGTAACAAACCTGCACATTGTGCACATGTACCCTAAAACTTAAAGTATAATAATAATAAAATTTTAAAAAAAGAGGCAACTGATTAGGGAAAAGGACTTACATGTACAACGGTGGAGGAAATTCATACATAATATTTAGATTAACCCAATTTCTAATTGTTAAAATAGAAATAAATGGTTAAGGATAATTCAGCAAATGAAGAAAATTAACAGCAATAAGGTGAAAAACTAACAGAATAGCTAATTCAAAAGACCAAAAATTACAAAGGTAACTCAGGAATTAGAAGAGAATTTAAAAATTATGATTGATATGTAAAGACAAATTTATAAAGTAAGAATCAAATGCTATAAACAGGCAACATTTAGAGACCAGGAAAAAGCCCTTTGAAATAAAAGAAATACACACACATAACACATATACCCAAATATAAGTCTGGCAGAATGCAAAATTCAAAAACTGAGAGAAAAGAGATAAAAATTCATAGAAAATTAATCCAGGAGGTTGTTTTTGATTTTACAGACTCATAGGTGGAAGGGAATTGCCTTGTCTTAGATGAGACTTTAGACTGTGGGTTTTTGCGTTAATGCTGAAATGAGTTATGACTTTAGGGGACTGTTAGGAAGCCATCTTTTGAAATGTGAGGACGTGAGATTTGGGAGGGGCCAGGGGCGGAATGATATGGTTTGGCTGTGTCCCTACCCAAATCTCATCCTGACTTTTAGCTCCAATAATTCCCACATGTGTGGGAGAGACCTGGTGGAAGGTAATTGAATCATGGGGGTTGGTTTTTCCCATGCTGTTCTCATGATAGTGAATAAGTCTCACAATATCTGATGGTTTTATAAAGGGGAGCTCCCCTGCACTTCTTCTGTACACCATGTAAGACATGACTTTTCTCCTTCTTTGCCTTCTGCCATGATTGTGAGGACTCCCCAGCCATGTGGAACTATGAACCAATTAAACCTCTTTCCTTCATAAATAAATTTTTAAAAGAAGAAAATACATTAATAAAAATATCAGAAAAATGGATAAAAATATTTCATAATAAATATTTGAATTAATTTCTCATTGTTGAAGAAAGTAAAAAATCATTAGATTGCATAGCCCTCCAAGGGCCTATAGAAAAAAAATGAAGAAAGGCCCATATATTGATAAACCTTCTAAACTTTCAGTGGAAAAAGTTTTAAAAAATTCCAAGAGATTGTAAAAATGTTTCCAGAGAAAAATGACATGTCACTAATAAATGTACAACTATTCAAGTAGCACTAGACTTTGATCACTAATGTAGTATGAGTGAGGACAAAGAAGCAGTGTCTTCTAAGTTTTAATAGAAAATAATTGTATACCAGTATTTCCAGCCACTCAGCATTAAAGTTTCACAGCACAATACAGTCATTTTTCAGACAAGAAAATAGAAATGTTATCTGAGTCATTCTTTCTAAGAAATTTATTTGTGGCTGTACTCCAGCAAACATGATGGGAGAAACTAAGAGGAACATGTGCAATAGTGCAGTTGTTCTAGGAATGCCAAGAAAAGTATTCAAGAATGATGGCTCTGGAATGGGCCTAGAATGAAAGAGACATGAATAACAACAACAAGTAAAAATAATATATAACACTAATTACAGCATATTTTGTGGAAGTCACTGATCTAAGTACATTAGAAGTCACTGTTCTAAGTATACTCATATAAACTGAATCCCTCTCATCAGTCCCAACAGTAGGATTACTATTATTACCATTGTACAATGGGGAAATCAAGACACACGCATAATTCAATGACTTTCCCAAGTCGTGGCACTGAATTCAAGCCCAGACAATTTGGTTTCTGTGTCTGTAGGCAGTCAGTGGTTCTGAAAAAAAAAGAAAGCCTTTAACAAGATTGAGATAAAATCTATTCAACCCGAAAAATTTTGGTGATGTGATTAGAAGATAAATGCTTCTTCTTTCATAGAAATAAGATAATTCGATCACACAGGGGACAAAAAAACAGTCGTGGTATTTGAATGAAGGAGAATATAATTTGACATATTGTTGGTATGTACACAGCCTTCAAAGGAAATTGATTATTGGTTTCTGGGTTGGCTTGAGAAATCAACGACAGTTTATCTCAATCCTTTCCTACCTCTTCTGCTTTTTCAAAAAACCAAGTTAAGCCATCTTTGCACAAATGATTTAAAATTGAAACAAGTCTTATTTATTTTGGTGTTTTGAACATAAAGATAAAAATAAAATGCCCCAAATGTCACATTGAATCTTCATCCTTACTCTCAAGGTAAGAGCTTTTCTTGAGAATTTTTATCTCAGTATGAATGCTTTGGGAAATAAAATTAATAGTCATTCCTCCTGGACTATGGTTAGTCAGATTCTGGCCACTGTTTTGACTGAGTAGCTTATTCTTGAGTGAGAAGTTGTAAGGGATAGGGATGGGTCTCCATGAACCAACTTAATGGGGCAAGCTGTGCCTTCAGAGACAAGCTTCCTACTTCCTTTTCTTAGAGTGCGCTAAGGTGCGTAATTCCCCAACAAACCACAGTCCTCTCCAGTGCTGCAGAAACAAGCCAGTTCCTGATTTCCTTTCTTCCGGTACTACCATACCAGAAAGGGAAGACAGGATCAGAAGCATGGGTGGGGTGCTTATATTTTATGTTTTTTTGTTTGTTTGTTTGCTCCCGAAACCCAGTCTGAGGAGGGAGCATCCCATTTTTCTTAACTGCCTTTTCTGTTTTATGGAGACACGTGTAGTTGTAGCAGAAGTCAAAACAGTGTATCTGGATTTGATTATTTTATGGCTATTTTGTGTAATTTTATATAAAATACACAATATAAACACTAGAGTACTGAGTCTTGGTTGTAACAGTATTATCATTTTAAAAAAATTATCTGGTTCACGTTGGTGCTTGAATAAAAAATAAATAAATAAAATAAAATAAAAATTAGTCTTGATTATTTTATTTAACTTCATGGTCTTAATCCCCTTGTGTTTAAAATGGTGATAATGCCTGTTCTACCAGCTCAAAATGTAGTTATGAGGATGACTTAATTTGTTTGCAAATGCTTTTTTTTTTTTTTTTGAGACGGAGTCTTGCTCTTTCGCCCGGGCCCGAGTTCAGTGGTGCTATCTCGGCTCACTGCAAGCTCCGCCTCCCAGGTTCATGCCATTCTCCTGCCTCAGCCTCCCGAATAGCTGGTACTACAGGCGCCCGCCACCGCGCCCGGCTAATTTTTTGTATTTTTAGTAGAGACGGTGTTTCACTGTGTTAGCCAGGATGGTCGCGATCTCCTGACCTTGTGATCCGCCCGCCTCGGCCTCCCAAAGTGCTGGGATTACAGGCGTGAGCCACTGTGCCTGGCTGCAAATGCTTTTTATAATGCTAAGCACTATATAAAAATAAGTTTCAATATTTTATCAGTATATTGGGGTGTAACATTTCTTTTGAAATTTTGATTTTTAGATGTTAGGTCTTCTGATGCCTCTAAGACTGGGAGCTATGGTACTTAGGAGGGAAAGGAAAGTGTTTTGAAATGGTGTTAATTATCTATATTCTGTACTAGTAAAAAAGTTTGATTTTTGTATAACAATTTAAGTGAAAATGGTTAACTTCCACTGTTATCAGCTTACTTTTACATCGGTAGTCCCCAGTCTCTTTGCAATGGATTTGGTAAATTGAGTGAGTAGAGATCTAATTCTTGAGTACTGGAATAATTCCAGGCGCTAAGATAACTTGAATGCTCTCTTTTTCTATGAAGCATCTTTCTAAATTATTCCAGGGGCAATTTAGAGCACATACTGGATTCAGAAAGTGATCCAGGTTAAGTTGTTTAGTGAATGGTGAAATGCTTTTCCTTGTTTTAAAAGCTTGAAATATCCTAGTTCCTCAGCCTTCCTTACTCAAGCCTGATGGTCAATTTCTCTTTTTATAGTTTCTAGTCTCTAAGGACCCAATGATGCTTGTATTCCTTTCATTGAAAATGTTAACCCAGTTCCTCTAAGTATTATCCTATAAACTGCTCTTTTCTCCACATTTTCTATTTTTATTCACTTCAGGGAACAAACACTATGTGTTTTTCAACATACATTCCTATGGCTTTTTCATTATGAGTTGATGAAAGTTTCAGATAGATTCTTTTTTATTCAATATATTACTCTGTCATCAGAACTTAATTTCATTATAGTAGTAATGAGGGGCAACTGAACATTTTTCCTTGGATATCTACTATACAAATGTAATGCAGAATTCAGTAGAAGACTGAATAGAATATATAAATAAACTCATATATTTAAGACTAATCAGAATAAGGTTTTCCTGTTATAGATTGTCCACATTTATAAATATATTTGCATATAAATGATTTTCGATAAGACTCTTTAATTGCACTATATAATTTTCCAAATTAACTTACGTTATTTTTCAATTGTTTCTTATGTTTCAGCATTACTAAGGTGGGGTATGGGTGTGTGTATGTGTATGTAGGCGCCCTTTGAAATATTATTGTTTAGTCTCTGCCATCAAAACAGGAACAGGAATGTGATATTATTTTCAGCTAAAATAATTTATATTAGAGTTATATTATTTTCACAAATGGATAAATGTGTCACATTCAAAAGTCTCAGTTATTATACATCCAAGAAAGGAAGCAGTGGTCACAAGGGGAAGTTATTGTGCAATGTTGTCAGCCATTTATTTTATCAGATGTCTTTAAAATGCCTATCAGTTCCATTTGCTTGTCTGCATGCAGAGCTCATGCATATAGTTGTGCCTCTCTGGTGGTCAATTTTGTTCGAAGGTTATACATTTCCTTTGTAAGTCTACTCTCCTTACCTGTTTCCTATTATCTTTGTGTGACTGATAAGGTCTGTTACATTTTTATCCCTAATAACATTAGAAATAAATGATTTAATTCACATCAATGAATTTCTTATTGGAATACATTAGATAAGCAACTCTCTAAGGGAAAGTGACTTGTACATTTAATTGAATCTGATAAAGAAGTTGCAAAATACATTTGCCAAATTAATTTATTTCTCTATTATTAATTCCCTACTTCCTCACAAATATATCCGTTGCAAGTTAAAACAAAGGACACAAAATCAAAGAGACATTAAAACAAGCGTTAAATAATAAGCCAATAGCATGTCCTCTTCCTAAGGTGCATAGGTGTGTTATAGAAAAATAGCTTAAAGAGAATACATGATAACATTAACAATAGTTATTTCTGTACCATAGTTATGTTGATAATTCTAATTTTCTTCTCCATAAATTCTACATTAAAAATACTCAGCAACAAGTACTGAAGACTTTTATGATCAAGATAATAGTTTTAAAAATTAATGCTTTCTTAAATTTAAATTTTCAATAAAAAATTATTTGAAAACAAAAGCTTACATAAATGCAACCAAAAAAACATGGCTGCATAAAATCCCTGGTGCCTCCAACTACAAAAATCACAGAAATCATAGCGTGTCTATTTTTTAATTTTGTTTTACTTTCATTTTAAGTTCAGGGGTACAAGTGCAGGTTTGTTACATGGATAAACTTCTGTCATGGTGGTTTTTTATACAGATTGTTTCATCACCCAGGGATTAAGCCTAGTACCCATCAATTATTTTTCCTGATCCCCTCCCTTCTGCACCCTCCATGCTCAGATAGGCTCCCAGTGTGTGTTGTACCCCTCTATGTGTCCATGAGTTCTCATCATTTAGCTCCTTTTTATAAGACAGAACATGCGGTATTTGGTTTTCTGTTCCTTTGTTAGTTTGCTAAGGATAATGCCCTCTAGCTCCATCCATGTCCCTGCTCAGACAATGCAACTATTTTTTTTAACACACGAATAGTTGGGTTCCCAAAATGTTAAATTATTTTTCTGTTGTTTTAGTGGTGAAATCTAGGATTTCTAACCTCTCTACAAAATGTTTTAAACAATAAAATCTTCCTCTTTTCAGGAAGAGATACTTTTGGAAATACCATTACACCTTAAAAAAGGTTAAGAAAAAAATTCATAATTTATATCTTACCTGTTATTTCTTTATTTCTTTTTCTTCTTGATTTTCATGCTCAAATAAAAATATCCATATTTGTCTCCACCATAACAGAGAACAATATAGAAAAGAGAGAAATCGCACTGAATAAATTATCAATTCTTCAACTATTCTTACCCACTTACCTCTCTAGTTAAGCAGCTTTCCAAGTTGTTTCCAGCTGTTTGAAATAACTGGCAATAATTAAGTAACGCTGGTAATACGGGAGGTAAAACCTATGTTGCTATGATCCTGAGAAAGAAGAGGTAGTTTAACTTTCTTTAATTGCTGGTTGCAGCTTTCTTAAAGCTGGAATTGTTAAGTCCCATCTTATTTTCATTTGAAGAGAGCTCGCCAGGGTAAAAAACCAACCCGAAGCAAGAAGTAGCAACGAGAGCCAGAGTTAGAGTTAAACTCCTGATAGTATCATTTAACTACCTGAATCAACATATGCTCAGAACATGTACACTCCTGAGAGTTTCATTTACTGATCCTACACATTTCACATTTAGAGTTAAGTTCATAAAAGGGATTTTGTTTTGTTTTCATCATTTATTTTTTTAAAAATCTTAACTAATACAGGGATCTTGTCAACTTCTGTATTAGTTTTCTAGGGTTGCTGAAACAATGTGCCACAAACTGGGTGGCATACAACATAAATTTATTGTCTCACAGTTCTGGAGGCTAGAATTAAGCAATCAAGGTGTCAGCAGGATTGGGTCCTTTGGAACATCGTGAGGAAGAATCTGTTCCGTGCCTCTCATCTAGCTTCTGGAGGTTTCCTGGCAATCTTTGTGTTCCTGGGCTAGTAGGAGCATCACTTCAATCTCTGCCTCTCTCTTCACATGCATTGTCTCTTTGTGTGAATCTGTCTCCAAATTTCCCCTTTTTATTGGTTTAAAGCCCACCCCAATGGTCTCATTTTAACTTGCTTATCTCTGTAAATACCCTGCCTCTGAATAAGGTCACATTTTGAGATACTGGGAGTTAGGACTTCAACATGTGAATTTTGGAGGGGTGCAATTCAACACATAGCAGCTCCAATCTGAGATCCAACTGAGCTACTGATATTTCTAACCTTCAAAGAAGTATGGTCCAGAGACTAGAATTGGAATTTCAATATCCGGATATAAGAGGTAATTACCTTCTACTCTGTCACATATTCAAGAGTGACTGATTCTGTTACCCTGAGGGTTCCTCTCTTGCTTTTTGTTTATAACTCTGTTTCTCATTCCCATGTTGGCTCCTCTCTGTTCACTGTCCCTTGCCACAGAAATGTGGCTCTCCTGGCATCATGGGATGCAGGTAGGTATAGCGTGTATGTGAGTTTTGGGACACAGTGCTTGGTGAACTTTAGCTACTTGCCCACCTGAGGCAGCTATTCTGCTTTGGGGCCCACCAACTGCCTTTGTATCATGAGTATGGGCTTTCTTAGAAATCAGTCCTCTCTACCAAAAGTACTATTTCAAACTCTAATTCTTCTGCTAATGTCATCACCTTTTGGTAATTAGAGTAAGTTTGATGATCTCTTTCTTCTCTGAACTTTCATCAAGGGTGACTTTGTGCTTCCCATGTGAACCATCCCTCATTCCTGTCCCCCAAGCAAATGAGTCTGCCATTTTGCAGTCAGAGTTGCTTGCTTGCCACACCAGCAATTTCTCAGCCATCTGTCTGAGGGCAAAATGGGTCCACTGGATTCCATTGTCACTCACAATCTGATTACAGGAACTAATATATATTTTATTAGTGGAACATACACTTTCCTTCCTTAACTGTTCTACTTTGAATTTCCCATCTTTCCAAAGCTCATATAGACTAACCTTGTGTACATACAATCAATTAAAACCTTGAGTAAGGGTAATAGTGTGGTTTTGTCAGAGACTGCAAAACACTTTAAAGATACTGCCTTTTTAGTCCACAAGAAGTCCTCATGAAGGATATACTATTGTTTGTATGTTTTGGATGGAGAAATAAGTAACATTTTTGAGTAATTACTATAAACTAGGCACAGCTTCATGTATTAAATATGCATTAATTTATTTAAACCTTACAAATAGCTTATGAAGTAGTTATCTCATTCAGTTAGGATCTTTGCAGGAAAAGAATGGCTCAAAATAAGATAATACAGAGACTATGACAAAGAAACAATGCTGAGGCACCTAGATCAGCAATTTTGTTAAGCTATTGCACCCTGAGAGCCAAAGGGACTGAGAGAGAAGATATGTGATGAAGCCAGCGTTGGAGCCATGATGTGGGGGTCAGTTGGCAGGTGCTGTAGTCCAGAAAGGTTGAAGATGCTATCAAAGACAAGAAGGAGAAAAGAAAAGCAAATTATCTCTCTGAAAAACTGATTCTTGATGTTACGCACATCATTTCTGCTTACATCCCATTGACTAGAACTTAGCCTTGGTCCCATGCCTAGATGCAAGAGCTCCTGAGGAATTTAAATTCCATTGCTAATTATCAGTAGTCATGTACCTAAATGAAATCTGGGGAGAAATTATACTGGAGGACCAAGGGGAGCTGTTGACATACTACTCATTCAAGGAAACTGAAAATAGGGTGTGGTAGAATCTGGCACTAACTGGCTTTATCAATTTGGGAATCTATTAATCTCTCACTTTTAAAGTTTATTATTTAAAACAACAATTTTCATTCATTTACAATGATGCTTGATACCAACTATTTGCTGATTTAATAGCTTTGAGAAAAGTGAGTAGAGTTTAGTACTGAAATCTAATTTCTATGTACCAAAATGTGCTACTTAAGTGTCTGTCCTTAAGGATTAGAGGCAAATGTCTTTTATAAAAATGCCTTTAGGATTCCTGTCTGTCATGGTACATGAATAATTTAGTTTGATGAGGTTTGGATTCAGCATCAATCAATATCTACGGAATGAACATCACGTTTTGTGTGTTCATATGTTGGTTAAAGTCTCAGGATTCAGACAATTGCTAACACCATTAGGAGAGCAGTAGTTTTCAAAGTGTGGTCCTCTGACCAGAAGCATCAGCAAATTTTTGGGCTGAATTAGATCTTCTGGTGTTGAAACCAGGGAACTCTTTTAATAACTTTTCAAGGTGTTTCATAAACGTGTTAAAAATAGAACTACTGGCCTAGACCAGTAGTCTATAGTGACTTGAACTTATAGAGCCTCAGTTCCATCCTTTCTCAGAAACAATAACTGTAACTACATTTTAGAGTTATTTGGAGAGTTAAACAGTGTAACAAAGGTAAAGCGTTTAATAAGGCCTGGCAAAGAGTAAAGGCACAATAAATATTAGCAGCTTGCTTTTTTTTTCTTTTTACAATTAGTAGTCTTTGATCTATTATTTTTTATAGGAAATATGCAATGAAAAATATTGGGTAAAATTTTTATGAATAATGATTTAGAATTCAGAAACTATGCCTTCTAAGTATACTCCTGTATAATTTTTTTTAACTCTTACTTTAGATTTTAGGTACATGTGCAGGTTTGTTATATAGGTAAATGTTTGTCATGAGGTTTTGTTGTACAGATTATTTCCTCACCCAGGTACTAAGCTGATACCGTTTGACTCTTTGTCCCCCCGGTAAATTTCATGTTGAATTGTAATCCTCAGTGTTGGGGGAAGGATCTGGTGGGACGTGATTGGATCATGCGGACAGTTTCCCCTTGTTGTTTTTGTGATAGTGAGTTCTCATGAGATCTGGTTGTTTGAAAGTGTGTAGCACTTTCCCCTTTGTTTTGCTCTCTCTTTCTCCTGCTGCCACGTGAAGACTTGCTTGCTTCCCCTAGCCCTTCTGCCATGATTTTAAGATTCCTGAGGTCTCCCCAGCCATGCCTCCTGTACATGTACAGCCTGCAGAAGTGTGAGTCAATTAAACCTCTTTTCTCTGTAAATTACCCAGTCTCAGGCATGTCTTTATAGCAGTATGAGAAGGGACTAATACATAAGCCAATTACCCAACAGTTATTTTTTCTGATCCTTTCCCTCCTCCTACCTTCCACCCTCAAGTAGGCCACAGTGTCTGTTGTTACTTTGTGTTCATAAATTCTCATCATTTAGTTCCCACTTATAAGTGAAAACATGCACTATTTGCTTTTCTGTTCCTTTGTTAGTTTGCAAAGGATGATGGTCTCCAGCTCCATCCATGTTCCCACAAAATATCTCATTCTTTTTTATGGCTGCACAGTATTGCATGGTGTATACGTACCATATTTTCTTTATCCGATCTGTCATTGATGAGCATTTAGGTTGATTCCATGTCTTTGCTATTGTAAATAGTGCTACAATGAAAATTTGCATGCGTGTGTGTTTATAGTAGAGTGACTTATATTCCTCTGAGTATATACCCAGTAATGGGATTGCTGAGTCCAATGGTAGTTCTTTTTTAGCTCTTTGAGGAATTGACATATTGCTTTACACAATAGTTGAACTAATTTACACTCCCACCAACAGTGTATAAGTGTTCCCTTTTCTCTGCAACCTCGCCAGCATCTGTTATTTTTTGAGTTTTTAATAATAGCCATTCTGACTGGTGTGAGATGGTCTCTCATTGTGATTTTCATTTGCATTTCTCTAATGATCAGTGATATTGAGCTTTTTTTCACATGCTTGTTGGCCATGTGTATATCTTCTTTAGAAAAGTGTACGTTCATGTCCAGGTCCAGACCTCCAAGGTCTATTCTTATTAAGTAAGAAAAGGAAGTATCTGTTCAGGAGACAATAAAATGTAGTTGTTACAGCCCCAGAAGCAATATTGCCTTGACTCAAATCTCAGCTCAACTCAGATCTGGGAAAGTTGCTAATCCTCTTCCTTTCTGTGTTTCTGCATCTGCATAGTAAGCATAATAAACAAAGTTCCTTCTATCATAGAGCTGTCGTTAGCACAGATAGTTAAGATAGTTGCTTTCACAAAAAAAAATTTAATTTAAATGTTATCCTTCACAAAATAAAATTTGAATTTAAATCTACTATTATTCCCAGGCAATTATGCTTGAAGAAAAAGTGTTTGATGCATTTATTCCAGTACATTATTGCACATACAATAAATTCATTTCTTTCTTCTAATATTTATTTCAATAATTCTATCTTGTTCTTTCCCTTAAGAAAAACTCTCCCCGCTCCCCACTTCATAAAACAATTCTTCAAAACATACACTTTTTGTAATTGTTTACTTTCAATTAGCTCCTAAGCACCTCTCCCAGGTGAATTAAAGCTGAGGAAGAATAAAATAGAGAGACTTTAAATAATTATAAATAAAAATGTATGTCTGGTCATGTTAAAGGCTCAGAATAATCCTTAAATATTCCTTTAAAGTCTACTTAATTTTTTTCCACAGGTAATATGTACTTTTCTATAAATATAAGCTTTCTATGCTGAAGAAAATCAGGGTGTATACCTACATAAAATACTTTTCTGAACCCTAAAGCCAATTTAACATTTCATGTCACTTTTAAAGTTTTTCTCACTTCAACTAGAGCCAATCATGTTGTCTGGGATGTTTGGTAATTGAGTTTCTCAAGGAATATGTGACACATTGTGATGTACTGTAAAAGGATTTCAGAGTTATCCATTCCCAGACCCTTCATAATCCACTAAAAATACATTTCAGTGTCCCCTGACTGTGCCTCAGGAGGCCCTACCAACCTCATATTTCTTAATCTGATCTTATTTTCTGGTCATCAAGTTGATTTCTCAGTGACTGGCAGCACTAGGTCTTCTTGAATAGCCTCATGCCTATAAATCTTTATCTCTATTTTTAAAATTTTACTCCCAGTCTATGTTGATCTTAACGCCTAAATTTTTATCACTTGTAGCCTGAATTACAGGTGACCTTTTCAATGCTATCGGTCAAGTTTCCACTTAATAAGGCTGGAATGGCCCTTGTCATTTATAAAATGAAAAATGAGCAGTTCTGAATGAAAAGTGTGGGATAGAAGGAATAGAAATACACAGAAGGAGGGAGAGGGAGAGAAAAAGAGGACAGAACAAAACAGTGCTGAAGAAGTTGAGGGCCTCACTGCCTGTATATTTTCCCTTCATGTTTAATCTATTCTGTTCCCTGTTTTAAATGAAAGATTGTTCACCATTTCTGGAAAAATAGGCAATTAGAATCCCATAACAAGCTGCTGTGAATAAACTAAATATTTTATATGGTGAATTAACTATTAGGAGAAAGAAACTCAACAATTTTACTACTGGCCTAAGTGTGTCTTTTTATAATAATAAAAAATGAATCACTTACAATTTTGTATTTTCTCTGTAATTTTAAAAAATACTTTTGGAAAGAATTTATGTATAACAGTGCTTCAAAGAAGGTGGGTATTTCCTTTTACAAAATATTTTCTGTCTAGTACCCAACCCTAATTGAACAGAACAAATGTAATTATGATGCTGGAGAGCACGTGATCAACATCCATCTTATACAAACTAGGCTTTTCTTTTTAAGTGATCACCTTCTCTCATCCTGATTCTCTGATAAATATGTCAGTTATGAAGTTCATTGTTCAACACGCATGTATGTAGCAGGCATTTCCGCAAGTCTATGGCAACTGTTAAAAGAATAAACCACAGATTTCACTGTCTAAAATTTGGGTTCAAAAGAAATAGACACATAGCTAAAATGGATGTTCACCTGGGGAGAGTGATACTTTGACTTGTTTCTTTAACTGTTTGTTATTGTATAAACCTCCTATATAATTCAGAGTATTCCAATAACATGAAACAAATGCTAGATTAAAATAATGACAACAAATACAATTTGGAAAGAAAACAGATTGCTGCCTGTGTGTGAATCAAATAGAACAAGCAATTGGATCACTATGCATCTAAGGAATTCAATTTGAATTCTTGGTAATTTTAGATAGGAAGGTTGATTTTGAACAGACTTAATGGAGTGATAAATATAGAAAAGTGATACATAGTATGATGTGTGTGTAAGAGCCCTAGCAATGACCCTATCCTGCCCCACCTCCACCAGTCATTACTAGATTGACTCTTTTGTGCAGTCTGGAAATGAAGTTAGTTTATGATTCTATTCAATGGGCATTTATTGAGCAACTACTGTATAATCTAGGTATAGTTAAGCCTTCTAGATTAATACAAATATATTATAAAGTAGCTATCTAACTTAAGTTCCAATTTGTAGCAGTTGTCGAGGAAAATGACATTGGTAAAACAAATAATATATTTTCCTTTGTTAAATAGTACAGTGTATAAAATATTAAAAATTACCTCAGAGCTTCCTGACATGAAAGAAGTTAGAGCAATATTATTCAAACCATGTTCCAAGGTATCTCAGTAAGAGAATCTGTCAGAAAAAATGTTCATGGTGAAATATGGATCATGGAAAATGCTGAATACTGTAATATCGTCTTGGAAATTCTGCATGTGCATTCACATAGTAAAGGCTTTGAGAATTGCTCCAGATAATCTTTTTATATTTGTTACTTAAACTCCTGGTACCTACATGCTTTATATGAATTGCAAAGCAATTCTTCAATTCCAAACAAAAGTATCTACTGTTTTCTGTGATGCCTTGAATAATTAATCAAGACTACATAAGCACAAGATAGGAGATATATACATACACATACACACACCAAAGAAAATGCCCATTATTAAGAAGTATGAATAAAAGATACACTGCCAATTCAACCATGGTACATGCTTTCTTATCACAGGTATTTTACTTTATAATTACTGAAAGATACATTTTCATGGAATTTCATCGCATAATACTTCTGTGCTTTTATTTTATTTTTTTTTGAGACAGAGTCTCGCTCTGTCGCCCAGGCTGGAGTGCAGTGGCGCGATCTCGACTCACTGCAAGCTCCGCCTCCCGGGTTCATGCCATTCTCCTGCCTCAGCCTCCTGAGTAGCTGGGACTACAGGCACCCGCCACCACGCATGGGTAATTAATTTTTTGTATTTTTAGTAGAGATGGGGTTTCACCGTGTTAGCCAGGATGGTCTCGATCTCCTGACCTCGTGATCCACCCGCCTCGGCCTCCCAAAGCTGTGCATTTATAAAACTACAAACTATACATGCAATAAATTGGTTAAGATATTCCTGAATAATTATTTATATTTCGGGTTTGAACTTTGAAATCTCTTTTTACCAGGTTCACAGGGGGAAACTGGAGAATGGAAGCTATATGTGAAGGAAGGCTAGGCAGAAAGCTTGAAGGAAATTGGATTTTGATGGCTCCTTAAGACCAATCATGGTTTGCTAACTTCTGTAGAAGAATAAAATAAACTGATTAGTAATTTAGGCCACCATTTGCCAGGCTATTTCTTGTAGAAAAATACAATCCTAGTGGATATACTTGCCATTCTGTGTTCCATGCCCTTGCAGGAGTGTGACTTGTTCAGTGTTTCTTTCAGCTATTAAATTAAGGCAGTGAGTTAGATTTGAATGTGATGCAGGTATTCAGATATGCAAGGAAACAGTAAGAACAAGCTTTCTAGTGTGATCACCATTTTTCACACATGGATGAATATGAGTGTAGTTAAATCAAAAGTGAGATGAGACCCTGAATCTTGAGTCCATTTCAGAAGAGTGATACGGTGCACATAAACTTGACATTCCAAAAGAAACAATTCCATGATAACTTTGGCTCTAACTCTTGATGTCAGAGAGAGACTTAACCATCTGTCATCTCAACAAACCAGAGTGTTCAGAGAGGTAGACTTTGTATGGCCTATTTCTCTGTGCTTCTTAGCCTCCCGTTGACAGCAGCATAGGAGTGAGGGATCTTAGGGTTTCTTGAGGTTAAAATACAGCTGAAGCATCATTGCGGGAGTGTCCCATCAGATTAGAGGAACTTTAAAAAATAAAGGAAAGTGTAAATTATTTTATTGTGAGTTTAAATTCTTGAAATATTTTATATTCTCCATCAGATTATTGTTGTCATAAAATAGCCATAATTCCTTAGAAAATTCTTATATTTTAGGAAATTTTGACATACTACTTCATGTTTGCACTTTTCCTTTGCAAATGAATCTTTGGGTCCCTCATTTGTTAGGTACTACTGGGTTCAGTAACTGTCACATTCTTTAATGTCATGTGCCCATTTTTCTTATGGTATTTATCATATTCTAAACTTATCAGGTTTATTTCTATGCTTGTTTAATGTTTGTTTCTGACAACTAGAATGCTCATTTTATAAGAGCAGAAAATTCATCTAACTTGTTCATCCCTGATTTCCCAAATATTATCATGTAGTAGGTTGAGAATGTGTTTGTTGAATAAATGAAGGTATGAATTATTAAGGAAAAATAAAAGGATTATAGTAATTTCAAGACTAAACGTACATCTTTAAAAGTATTGTGAAATGACTTGAAACATTACCTGATATCCTGACCTGCCTGGTATTATAAAAGCTCATAGAATCATACTGGCAAAATAAATGAAAATTTCCTGCTAAGTGACCACTGAAATCTTTGAATATGCCTTTTTTTAGATGTTCTAAATGTTGTTGTAATAATACTTTCAATTCTTCTATGTAGTTTCAAGAAACTTATTAAGTTACCTGGGTTTAGTGAAGAGAAGAATATTGCTACAATGGCCAAATATATCTCAGCTACAATGCTACATGCACAAAGAAACTTAAAGAATTACAAATGACAGTACAGCAGAAAATACTGGTTAACTGATTTTTTTTTTCCAAAAATGATCTGAAACCATGGATTGTCCTTTGCAGAAGTCTTCAAATTTATCATACAACTTTTTAATAAAATAGCTTTAGTCTTATTTGAAAACCCATGGTTTTCTGACAAGTTCCAAAGATAAAACATCTATTCAAGCTAGAATTGCAAAAATAAATGTAATTTTACAGTCTACATATAACCACAGATACAAAAACATTAACCAAGAAAGAATTGCTCCTTTGTTAGAAAGAAAATTGCAATTATTCATTAAAGTTAGTTAACAGAAACTTATTTTTGTGTTCCTCTATCTAACTGAGACTTATGGCTTATATATTGATTTCCATGTGGATATTTTAGGGAAGATAATTTCTCCACTCATACAACTTGGACAATCATTTTGCAAAATTAATGAGACCTTTTAAAAATGGGAATCCAAATAATTTAGCAAACTCTAATATCTGATCACTACATACTTTCTGTTATTTTTAAAGTTTCCCAACTACCACAATCATCAGTTGACAATATTTGGAAAGATTAATATAAATTATTATTCTTTTTGAGTTGCTTTTTTTGAACTTCAGTCAGTGTTAGACTTTTATATAGTGCTTATAGTAAATATAAACTGTTTTTTCATGCCGTATTTTCATTGGCATCTGTATCTGTTTAATAATCCAATTTGCTGGATGCTGAATGGCTTAAAAATATATTACTAACAACAGTTCGGCCAATGAACCTGAAATTGTCGCCATTAAAGTGCACCTTTGACATTGAGTTATAGTGTTTCCCTGAGTCATGTGTTAAAATCCCAGCATACAGCTTTGGGAAGGATAACCTTTTAAACTAATGTTCAGAAAATTATGGCCCACAAGCCAAACATAACCCATTGCCTATTTTTGTACATAAAGCTTTAATGGAACACATTAAAGAGAGGCACATGCAGCACTAGCCATCTCAAAGGTAAAAGTGAGGAGGAAGAGTTGAAATCAATAACAGTGGACCAAAAATTAACTTCTACTACTAAATCAATCATTTTGCCAATCACAGCAAAAAATAAAGGGGTAAAATTTGAAAAAAAAAAGTGAATTTTTAAATGAGTTTCTATGTGAGTCACTATAAATTTCCATGGCTGTTTAATAATTCCCTAGTTTAGCACAAAGTTCATAGGATTACACATATTTTGAGCTTTAGTTGATCCAGCAAAAACAGTCTTGCAAAGAAGTACAAATTCACACTGCAAGCAGCAGTATGTGAGACTATTTTTCATCTTTTTCATTTTAACATTTTTAGGGTATAGTAGGTATGCTACCATGGTTTTGATTTGCATTTCCCTAATGACTAATATCTTTAAGGACCTTTTTAAATGTGCATTGATTATTTGGATATCATTGGGGATGTAAAAGATCATTTACATTTTTTTCTTTGGCTTGACTTTTGTTTCTGATTGATTTGCGAGAATATTTGTGTGTTTTTTCTTTGTACTGCAAATATCTTCTCTCACTCTCTGACTTGCCTTTTCACTCTTTTAATGGTGTCTTTTGATTGACCGAAGTTTGTAATTTTAATTACATTCCATGTGTTCCATGTTTATGCTGGATACTTTTCACATTCTTTTCAAGAAATATTTACTCTGTAGTGATGGAGTTTTAAATGATCCACTAGACAGAAGTTAGTAAGGATACAGAAAATCTCAAAAACAAGTAATAAGTTCATCTGACTCAGTAGTATAGAACCCTATACCAAATGATGAGATAAAACATACTTTTTAAAAGCAGATCTTCTTTGGGTCTCTTTCATAATAGCTAGGTAAGCACAGCCAATACCAATCAATATGTGCCAATATTGTTTTTATTTTCAAATACTTCTTGTAGTGCTACAAGTTTATTAGATACATGTTTAAGCAAGTTATAGCACATAACAGCTTCATAAGTGTTGCTCATGTGTAACATGGATTGTCACCTTTCTCACCACTAGGACTCTAATATTACCCCACATCCACCACATTAGCATTGGCTGATAATCCTGCAGTTACAAAAACACCCAAACTCTCACTGGGTTAGTGAAAATATATTTCATGCTACTGCCACATGCCAATGCAATTAAGCATTGTGTCACAGTCGTTATAGAGACAAGGGATACAGGCAATATAAGCTTCATCACAACTGAGAAGATCTAGAAACACTTGTTAAATAGCATTGCTGACTACTATGTATGTGTAACACTTGGAAAACTTTCCCAAGTAACAGGTTACATGACATATCGTAAGAAATATTCAAGAAACTGGATCACATAGAATTATATGCCTGGGGTAGTTTTGTTTGGGTTGCATCTGTTTGGTGATCTCTGACCTGCCTGTACCTGGATATGTATATCATTCTGTAGGTTTAGAAAGATTTTTGTTACTATTTCTTTGAATAAGCTTTCTACTCCTTGTTCTTTCTCACCTCACTCTTGAAAGACAATGACTCAGATTTGCTCTTCTGGGATTATTTTCTGTATCTCATAGGCATTCTTCCTTCCTTTTCTTTCTTTTTTTTTTCTCCTCTGTATGTTGTCAAATAGCCTATCTTCAATCTCACTGATTATTTTTGATCAATTCTGCTGTTGAGACCTTTTGATGAGTTTTTCATTTCAGCCAATGTTTTCCTCATTTCCAAGATTCTGTTTGTTTGTTTTAATTATTTCAACCTCTTTGTTAAATTTTTCTGATAAATTGCTTTTGTGCTTTATCTTGGAGTTTGCTGAGTTTCCTCAAAACTGTTATTTTGAATTATTGATCTAAGAGTTCTTATATTGCTGTCTCATTGGGTTGGTCACTGGCTCCTGGCTTTGTCCATTTGGGAAGGTCATAATTCCTTGTTTGCTGTTGTTTCTAATGGACACCTGTTTCTAATGGACACATGTTGTTTATGTCTTTGCACTGAAGGATTAGTTATGTATTCCCAGCTTTCCTGTCTGGGTTAGTTTGGCCTTTCTAGTCTATGTATGTTTAGAGTATCTATGCAGTTTGACTGTTGATTTCCCTTATTCCTAATTTGCTGCCTCCTTCTTGGCACTACATGGTGCCCTAATTTCAAGTTTGCCTCAGCTTTTACAAAAGTTTGATGTGCCATTTGTCCTGAATTGGGGTCGGGGGTAGGAACCCAAAGGGGATTCCCTGGCTGTGTAGAGAGGCTGGTTAGGGGTTCATGCCAAGTGTTGCACTACCTCTTTGATTTGGCATCTCCTTTGTCTGAGCTGGAGAGCAGTGCCCATGTTTTGTGCACTGGGACTGCTAACCCCACCTCCACTGTCTATTTCCAGCAGCCTTTTAGGGGTTCCTCTCCCTAAAGGCACTCAAGTTGCTTTAAGTGGGTTGAAGAAAAAACAGCTTTTCTGTGTAGGAACCCAAGATGATGGGGAAACCAGCTGTCTGCTGCAACATCGCATTTTCCAGAGATAGTGACTCCAGGAGAACTTTTCTGTGAAGTGCCTGATAGTTTGGAGGAAGCATGTAGCACATGGAAAAGTCCATTTCTTCTACCCTCCCCATGCAGTTTACTTCCCTGTGGCTCAAGGATTATCACAGCCTCAGTTTTGAGTTCTGGAGTACTGGTGGTGATAATTTTGGCACTGGACAGGATTTTGTTTTGTTTTGTTTTCTGTGGGGAGGGTGAAAGCAGATTACTTCTACTTCACCATTTTGTTGTTGTTGTTGTTGTTGTCATTGTTGGTTTGAGACACAGTCTCGCTCTGTCACTCTGGCTGGAGTGCAGTGGTGCGATCTTAGCTCACTTTAACCTCTGCTTCCCATGATCAAGCGATTCTCGTGCCTCAGCTTCTCAAGTAGATGGGATTACAGGCGTGCACCACGATGGGCCAGCTAATTTTTTTTTTTTTTAATTTTTAGTAGAGACAGAGTTTTGCCATGTTGGCCAGGGTGGTCTCGAACTCCTGGCCTCAAGTGATCTGCCAGCCTCAGCCTCCCAAAGGGCTGGCATTACAGGTGTGAGCCACCACACAAGACCCAACTCCACCATTTTGGTGACATCACTCTCTTGGGTCACAAAGAAGTAATCAAAGTTTAGTTATATTTAAAAGTTAGAAATTAATAGAAAGTTAACACACACTTCCCAATGTATTTGGGTTAAAATATAATCAGGTATAATCTTCCAAAAAATTCACAGACCAGATAAGGAGTTATATTAATAATAAAGATTAAAATACATTTTGAACTAATAACAATGAAAATACAATGTGTCCAAATTTGTTAAATGTGTATAAAGCAATAGTTTCACAAAACTGGCATGAAATGCTTACATCAGAAAAAAATAAATATTGAATATTTCTTGAAGTTTTCCAACTCAAGAAATTAGAAGAAAATAGAGAAGGTAAAGAAGATAAACAAATAAAACAAAGTTAAAGAGCAAGAGGTAATTAAATAGAAACTTTAAAATAGAGATTAAAGACACCAAAATATTTTATTTTAAAATAACTCAAAATGTTGGCAAAATTGACCAAGTAACAAGGTTAATTAGTAACTGAATAATTACCAAGTAATTTCATAAGTGTGAAAAGCAAAATTGAAAATTTATAGAAAAAACAGAAGTGAAAAATATTTGTTAGATGTTAGGGGAGAGAAATAATTTTTAAAAAAATAACAGGAAAAACAAACCAAATTTAAAAAGATTTACAACTAAGATTACATTAAAATGAAAACTTTTATATGATGTAATGCACAATTAAAGTGAAAAGAAAAGCTGAAAAGCACAATACTAAAATAATTCATTTCAATAATTTACAGATACCTTTGGAATCAGTAAGAAAATAAAAACAACCCAAGGAAAAACTGGGCAAAATTATGAAAATGTAATGCACGTAGGAGTAAACTAAATTCCGTAATACTCAAAAAGATGCTAAACCTCAGCAGTAATCATGGAAATGTAATTAAAACTAAAATGGAATACAATTTCATATTATCTCAATTGGCAAGTGTACTAGATCCAATAACACCAAGGGAGATCATGGGTAAAAAGGAACCAAGCAATTACATTAAGTATGAATCATGAAGAACCTCTTGTACAAATGCACAAGCTTACAAACAGAAACAAGATCATTACCAAATTAGTTTGTAATAGAATAAAAATCAAAAAGACATATGCATGAAAATGGGTAAACATGCTATGAAATACTCTATGAAAACGGACAAATAAACATGCAATAAACTACTAAATAGTTAAAATAGATGAATTATAACTACTGAAAAAAACATGAATAGAACTCAAAAAAATTTATGTAAAAATAAAAAAGAAGAAAGAACATGATACTAATATGTTAAAATATATGCATATTTAAACTCTTTAAACAGTACTTTATATTATTTATGGATACATACAAATCTGGTAAAACACAAAAGCATGCCTGGGAATGATAGTACCATTTTCAGAGTGGAACTTAAGTTGAAGGCAATCATATGAAGGGTTGGAAAGCTGACCCTAGCATTTCTAAGATTTTATTTTAAAAGAAAAACAGAGATATGAATCAAATATGGCAGTGTTATAATTTATTCAATTAACTCTCAGTGGTATTTAATTAGATGTTAGTTTTATTATTTTCATATTGTATATATTTTATAGTTTAAAATATTAAATATTAGTTTATGATAAAAAATCAGAATTAATGATAAAATACGTATCTAAATTTTCAAAATTTTCATACTACTATTCAGTCTCATTCTTGGTGACCTATATTCTAAAAATATTTATCAGAAAAAAGAAGCAAAGCATGAAGAGAATATATATGTATTTCTTGAAAGTCTAAATGTAGCAGCATAAATTTTAAGCCACCTATTTGTTCCACAGAAGAGAAACAGTTAACTAAATTATGATACAGGTATATAAATACAATGGATCATTGTGCACTCTTTTTTGTTAAAGCAATGTGAAAATAGAAAATATTTAACACATAATCCTTTTAGCTTGAATTTTACTTTTTTCTATGGATACATGATACTTGTACATGTTTATGGGGTACATGTGATATTTTGTTACATGCATATAATGTATAATGATCAAGTCAGGGTATTTAGGATATCAGTCACCCTGAGCACTTAGCACTTTTATGTGTTGGGAACATTTAAAATCTCTTCTAGCTATTTTGAAATGTGTAATATGTTGTAATTATAGTTATCCTGTTGTACTATTGAACATTAGAACTTATTCCTTCTATTTAACTGTATGTCGGCATCCATTTTCCTACCTTTTTTCATCCCCCCATCACCACACCCTTTCTATCCACAGGTAAATGTCATTCTACACTCTACCTCCATGAGAACAAACTTTTTTAGATCTCACATATGAGTGAGAACAAGCAATATTTGTCTTCTGTGCCTGGCATGTTTCACTAAACACAATGACCTCCAGTTCTATTCCTATTACTGCAAATCACTGGATTTCATTCTTTTTATGGCCAAATAGTATTCCATTGTAAATATATGCCACATTTTCTTTATTCATTCATCAGATGATGGACACTTAAGTAGATTCCATATCTTTGCTGTTATGAATAGTGCTGCAAGAAACATGGGAGTGCCTGTAGCTCTTTGATGCACTGACTTCATTTCCTTTGGATAAACATCCAGTAGTGGGATTGTTGAATCATATGGTAGTTTTATTTGTAGTTTTTTGAGAAATCTATGTACTGTTTTCCATAATAGTTGTGTTAATTTACATTCCCATCAACAGTGCATAAGAGTTCCCATTTCTCTGTATTCTTGCCGGAATCTGTTATTTTTTTTTCTGATAATAGCCATTCTAACTGTGGTGTAATTCTATCTCACTGTGGTTTTGATTTGCATTTCCCTGATGACTAGTGATGCTGATCATTTTTTCATGTACTTGTTGGCCATTTGTATGTCTTCTTTTGAACAATGCTTATTGCAACCCTTTGCCCGCTTTTTAATGGGATTATTTACTTTTTTTGGTGTTGCATTGAGTTCCTTGTATATTCCGGATATAGTCCCTTGTTGGATGAATATAATCTTACTAAAAGTATAAAATTTTGTGATTGCAACTATATGAAGCTATAAATCCATGTAGACAAAATGAAAACAATTGTGTTTCAATTCAGAAGTAATAAGTTAAAAATCATTTGAAAATTAATACTTGAGAATGCAGGGAAATTATAAAGCAGATACACATGATACAAAAACAGATGAAAATATCAACATTACAATGGAATATGGGTCTTTGTACTGAGTGGTACCAATCAAATTTTGGAAATGGATTCTGATGCTTTGCTTCTCTAAATTTTGATTCTAGCAGGAAAAAAATGAAGCAAAGTTCTTATCAGATATTATTTGGTACTTATTTTATGGTTACAAGAAATGTAATGATTACCAGGAAATATCCTGCAACTACAAATGAAGGCAAATGGAATATTCGTTGCAGGGCAATGATAATCCAATGTTGAGAGATGGAAATGAGGAAGTGTTTGAATTCCAAAGCTGATCTAGTTCCAAGGCGTAATACACATTGAGGTCTTGTGGCAAAATCTGCCATAAAATTTGCTGCCATTCTTTCTAGCACAGTGTGTTCCACAGAGCATATTGAGGCCTCCTTTATTCTGGACTTTCCATTGTAAACACAAGTGCCCAATAATATAATAATCTTTACCTTCCTACAGGAAGAACAAGTTATTTGACTTCCTGCCCACATTCTCATTAAATGCTGAAAATTTGTCAGAGTACTCTCTGGTACAATGATTTCTATTGCTATATTCAGAGTGAAAACAAACCTTTTCATATATATATATGAAAACAAACCTTTTCATATATATATATATATGAAAACAAACCTTTTCATATATATATATATGAAAACAAACCTTTTCATATATATATATATATGAAAACAAACCTTTTCATATATATATATATGAAAACAAACCTTTTCATATATATATATATGAAAACAAACCTTTTCATATATATATATATATATATGAAAACAAACCTTTTCATATATATATATATATATATATAATACTTTAAGTTCTAGGGTACATGTGCACAACGTGCAATTTTGTTACATCTGTATACATGTGCCATGTTGGTGTGCTGCACCCATTAACTCGTCATTTACAAAGAAACTCAAAGGATAAAGTTAAGTTTAAAGTGGAGTTAAAATTGATATGTCTCACAAATGTTTTCGTTATTTCAAATGTACAAAATATAAAAGCTGAAGAAAGTCAATAAAATTAAAGAAACTATGAAATTGATTTGATTTTACACAATTCCAAGTGGTAGCTTTAAATAAGCCTCCCTGTTTCAAATAAATTGCCTTGAGCAGAGCTCTTTATAAAGTAATGTGCCATTTACCAAAAGCTTGTCTTAGTGTTCTGCTCAGTGAATACCTTCCATTAAGGTTGGACCAATTACAGAGTACAAATGCTGTTTCAATTTTTTTATTTCCTGCAGACACAAAGGTCAAATGTCTGAGAAACTCTTAGGTGGACTGAGTTTTCATTTTGTTCCAAATGAGACTGTATAATTTCTTGGGATGCTCCTAGTTCTTAGAGAAGGGTTTTGAAGCTCATGACACATTCATCCATTTTCAGGCTAGAGTTGAACAAGAGACGGATTAGTTATAGGGATTTTTTGCATGATATAGCAACTCTTGAACTAGTGGCATGTTGTTAGTAACAAATAAATTTCCCAGTACAAATTGTTGGTTTTGTTTCAATTTGCAAAATTAATTTATAAGAGCAGTAGGTGGATAATGTCTACCTCTTTGCTTATTAATTACACAGCTGATACATTAATTTTTATTGATAGATTTTCAGTACCGTTTTATACTAATTGCACTAGATGCTGTTGCTTTTGATGTCTCTTTGGCTACAGTCTTTCTGACCAGAATATTTTATAGTATTCTGAGCATATTTCTATGGTGATTTCATGCATCCAGTGAATACCGGATTTCTATTTCCTATTTCAATACCAACTTCACCGTCTTGAAATGATCAACTTTTTATAAATTGTATCTGAGGGGAGACAAAATAATGAATAAAAGAGTCAATACATTTAACATTCTTTAGTAGAGGTTAACATCTCTATTAAGATGTAATCCCCAAGAGGTTAACATACAAATATAACTAGCGCAGCAAGAGTAGAGACACATTAAGTGAACTCTGCTACAGTTGGCTATTTTTCTACTACTGGTCTATTTTTTCACTTATTTTGTACATACAAACTCAGTGTTCTTGTCAGCAATGAATAGATACTTAATTATTCAATACATTTCACATTTGAGTGAGTTCAAGTTAACTTGACTGCCAACTTCTAAAGATGATAACTTTGCAAAGGCCCTTGAGAAATATGATTTAAAATGCTGTACTGTTCTATGGGTAAAAATGTGATTTCAGTCAACCCTCTCTTCCTGTTCCTAGTTAAGTAAGTAGAGTGATGACAGAGATAATCTATAACATCAGGGATATTCCTGTGTCATACAGGTTTGACTTGAAGAATACTGAATTTTCTAAAGCAAATTTATTTTCTGGTTTGGCTTGGTTGAAGTTAACATTCAAATGTGTTGGTTTTCCCTTGGAGAGTAAAACTTGAAATATGTTTCCATGGAAAGTGGAATTTGAACTATGTTGGGTGCCAGGGTAAATGAGCCTGGAATTGCTGTATGGTGTAGCTCACTGGTCAAAATATTGATGGTCTGTATTGACTTATAATGGATAAAAAACTATATGAGCGTGGCTTTTCTAAATCCATTACATGCAAATAATGTGCATTAATTTCATTTTTCTTAATTCATTTTAAAGCACTTTTGAGGTTATGTCAGTTGAACTTTTCAATAAATTATGAGGCCTTAACATAGACCATTATAAAAAGAAACAATTTGAGAAAAATTTTAATATATATAATAGCCATAAAAAATCCACTTTTTGCTTATAATAATGCCACTTTTTTCTTCTAAAGAGTTGTTCCAAAGATGATACTAGTAATGCTTAGCAAATTTACAGCACTTTTAACATTTCATGTACTCTCAGAGTTTTATAATCTGCATATATAGTTTGTCTTTAGTCCTACATTTGGTATAAAACTTACTTTAAATAAAAAGTATAATTAATTGATATGTGACCAACCAATCTGTGAACCTATACATCTTCAGTTCCTTGACTTCAGAATCAATTGTTATTTTCTTGATTCCCTCTTTAAGGGCTGCCTTCAACTTTTCCTCTTTGAGGAAATAACTTTAAAAAGAAATGATAAGGGCCAGGGCAAAAAAAGTATCTAGGACTACGGTAAATAGTGGAATTTCTCCCATGTAATTTATATACAAAAAATACAAGGGGTTATACACTTGGGTTCTTCTAGTTACCTTTAGACTCTCAGTCTTTTAGGGTTATTCTTTTTTCATGATTATCATGTTATATTCTCAGGGTATGTTCTAAACTTTATTCATTTTCACAAACAATTTATCTCTGGTTTAATGATATCTTTTATTGAAATCATTGGTATACATCCACCTGGTGGTATTTATTAATAATATTTGTATCTACATTATTACTTAAGTTTAAGACAGTCTTTATTCTGGGTTTCGCAGTCCAGGTAAAATATTATTTTTCATTAAACCACTCCATTTTGTACATTTTTAAATGATTTTTCTTTTATTTTAGTAATTTTTCTATTCTTTAAATTTAAACTTTCTCTATGGATCCCAAAATTTTAATGTTTATTTTTCTTCCCTATTATCAGTCATCATTTACTAAGGAAAATATAGCCACTACCAGAATTATGATAATAGGTTATTTAATGTAGGAACCAGAACTTATGAAGTGGGAAAAGGTGGGAAAACAAAGGTCTGTAAGCCAGCACCACAGAACTGGAGAAGCAATCACTCAATCACTGATGTCAACCAGAAGCCAGATTTGGTGATGAAGCCCAAGAAGGCATTATGCCTGCCTGCCATGACCATACGGTGAGAGCTCATAGAGAAGTCTGTTAAGTCAAGTCATGCATTTGACTGCCACAGGAACAAGGGCCTTTTTTTTTCACTGCTATCTTCTAAATGTTGTGAATTTCTCTGATTGGCAAACCAACCCAAAACCATACAGGGGAGGTGATTCTGGGAAATGTAGTTCCCAGCCTTAGAAGGGGTTTATGGAGGTGCCACGTTTACAACTGACAATCCAGCTTTCAGAAAAAGAACAACATAGGCAACATACAAACACAAAACAAGTGAGAAATGTACAAGTATTTTCTTATTTGTTTTGGGATATATTCGTGGGCATTACTAAGGTCATCCAAATTTATGAAATATCAATTATGAAGTTAATCTTTATTCTGTATATTTGTAATAACCAATTAGATAATAACCAATTGTTCACAACATACTTTTATAGTTTAATGTGATTTGGAGAATTAATAAACTGATAATTCAACACCAAGACCCAAATTCAATGGTAATAGTCAGATAAGTAATAGTCAGAAAAGACAAATATTTATTTTGATATTAAAATGAGTGCTAAAAATATTTCCCAAGTAGGGAACCTGGACTTCTATCCTGATCTGACAGTTAGGAGACCTATGGAGTTAATATAATTATGAGGCTAATTGAATACATAATGCCCATGTCATATAAAAATAAATAGTTTGATCCTCCCTATTGATAGGGACAGAGAAGGACAAAATTGCCAACACAATATCAAGTACTAGGATATGTGTTGATTTGCTGTAGTAAAGTTATCACATCTAGTACAGTAGCTACGATTGGGGCATGACCTAGGTAATATATAGTAGATTACTGCCATCTGAATTTTGCAAATATTAAATCGGTAATTTGAATAGAGACATGGTAGAGACCAACTACCTTGCATCTTTTAATGCTTTTTACATTTTGAGACAGGGTCTCATTCTATCACCCAGGCTGGAGTGAAGTGACAAGATCATGGCTCACTGCAGCCTCAACTTTCAGGTTCAAGTGATCCTTCCACCTCAGCCTCCCAGGTAGCTGGGACTACAGGCACATGACACCATGCCAGGTATTTTAAAAAAATTTTTGTAGAGATGGGGTCTCACTGTGTTGCCCAGGCTGGTCTCGAACTCCTCCCCTCAAGCAATCCTTCCCTCTTGGCCTCCCAAATTGTTGGGATTACAAGTATGAGACATTGTGCAAAGCTGCCTTCAATTCTTTTAATAGTGATGCTAATTTCTGCAACTACTCAAAGTATGCAATATTGCTCCTAATTTATTCTCTGTGACCAGTGAATATATAGGAAGTAATTTTAGGATCTTTTATTTGACTATTCCTACCATATTCAAGTCAGCTAACCAATACAAGATATGAGAATCCTTCCAGATGGTGGTATATATATTCCAATTATGCATTCAAGGACAAGAGGAGTAACACCATGGTTTTCCATGGACCTGCTGGACCAACTGTCAGAATGACTTGAAAAACTCCATTTGTCACCTGTTATTCATAAACTCCATTCTAGCAACAGAACTGAGAGGGATTTTTGTTTGCTGTTGGATTGATTGATTGGCTTTTGTTTGAAGATTTGTTTGGTTCCATTCTATCTTTCTTGGCGCATGACAGTCTCTAGCAATCCTTAAAAACTTCAGTAATCCATTCTTCCCACTTGGTGGTTACCCTGGGAAATGCCTGTACTCACTTTGGGGAAAACTGGAGGACTATTTCTTTCATAAATACTTGTGGTGGCACAGTAGGGTCCTCCCTCAAGTGTTGTAGGCTTCCTTTCAATCAGTGGGCCTTGGTCTCTAAACTGACTTAAGTATTCAAAAGAGTGGGAGCCTATAATTTTTCACTGCAGGA